>NC_000003.12:167644967-167796483 GCF_000001405.40 Homo sapiens
CTTGAATACATAAAATATAATATATGTAAATATATTCTACATTAAAAAAGCTACATGAGATATGTATATGTGTATATATGGATAAAAATGCACTTAAAATACACCAGAAAATATTAAGAGTAGTTACCCAGGGGAGTATAATGACTGAGAATGGACCATGCTAAGGGGGAAATTTCATGTTTAGCTTGGATTTTTTACCATGAGAATAATGTTACTTTTATTTATTTAATTTAATTTATTTATTTATTTATTTTTAGTTTTGAGATTGAGTTTCGCTCAGTCACCCAGGCTGAAGTGCAGTGGTGCAATCTCAGCTCACTGCAACCTTCACCTCCCGGGTTCAAGCAATTCTCCCCCCTCAGCCTCCCGAGTAGCTGGGATTACAGACACCTGCCATAATGCCTGGCTAGTTTTCGTATTTTTGTAGAGATGGGATTTTACCATGTTGGCCAAGCTAGTCTTGAACTCCTGACCTCAAGTAGTTGTGCCCGCCTTGGCCTCCCAAAGTTCTGGGATTACAGGCGTGAGTCACCATGCCCAGTCTTATTTATTTTAATAATACAAGGATTGCTAAATAGGAATCATAAAAATAAATGAAATTTTATATGGCTGGCTATACCCTCCTTTTTTGTTTGTTTGCTTCTTCTCCTTCTACTTCTGGAAAATAACTCAGCTGCTTTATTTCTTGTACCAACTCCAGTTGTTTCTCCACCACCTTGAAGAATTTTGTAAGGTCCAGTCTTAAACAGTCTGTTCTCTCCTACAGATATCTCATCTCATGGCCTCTCTCCTCCAGAATCTATGTTGCGATTCTCTCACACTCAATTTTGTCTCTCATAGCCTGCCTGGGACTTCTATTTGACTTTAAACAAATAATGGCATTGCGTTAATCAGAGCATCTATGATGAAAGCAACCAAAGGAACATATAGGAAGCTATGAGAAGAGAAAACAGGGTCATTGTAGGGCGCTAATCCCGCCTGCATGGTAAGAAAAGGCTTTCCTAAGGCAGTGGTATTTACACACATGTGAGTAGGAGTTGGCCAGGAAATTGTTGGGGATGGGAGAGAAATATTCCAAACTGAGGCACCAGCATCTGGTAGGCCCTAAAACAGGAGTAAGTAAAATATGATCAGCATGACTGAAACTCTTTGGGTAATGGCCCAGGTCAGATAATTTTGTGATGGACTCATTGGAACCATAAATCCAGACTAAACACCTGTGTGTGTGTTGGGAGTTGAGAGGAGGGGAGTTGCACCAGAAGGAAGAAGGAAGGATTCCCCTGAAAGGAATAGATCTTCCCATTCTTTACAGTCCTAGGAAGGGAACATGGAAAAATAGGTCTTAGACTAGAGTGAAGAGAAATATTTTCTGCTATCTCTGGGGCCAAGGATCAGTTTGGCCTCTGGGTTCTAAGACATGGGCAGTCTGATGTGTTTATAGTGGGATTGAGGAGCTGAGAGTAGCTCCTTGCCACAAATATATGTCCAGAAGTGAGGAAGCAGAACAAGTTAGTACGAAGTCATGAGAAAGGGTTCGAAGCAGCATTGTCCAATGGAACTTTCTGCAATGATGAAAATGTTCTATATTCTTTGCAGTCCAGTATAGTAGCTACTGCGTACTTGAAATGGCTGGTGCTTGTGAGGAACTGAACTTTATTTTATGAAATTCTTACTTTATTTAAATAACCAAATGTAGCACATATTGAAGAGTACACATCTGTAGCAAAACTAGTGTGATAATTTGGCCTTGGGTCTATTGAGAAGATTAGAGAAAGGTGTACACATGCACACATGGGAAGTGAAGCAGTAGAGGAACATAATGTCTCTGGTAATGCCTCCACAGAGATGTCGGTGCCTAGAGAATCAGGATTTCATAATAGTCACATCCATAGAACGTTGGTGAGACATGATGAAGGGAGAAAAGACCCCAAGGGGCTTTTTCTTGCACAAGTATGAGGTAGAGCCTTGGGAAACGGTCAGAAATCACTAAGGGACAGTTTAGAGGATTCCTATTTCTAGCAATAGAGTGAGGGTGTCTTGTGTCATCATTAATACGTTATACTTGGCAAAATGTGACAAATTGAAACCAAAATGCCACAAATAATGGTTCTTTCATTCTTTTATTCATTTTTCTTGTTTAACTCTCAGGAAAATTTCAAAAGTAGCAGTGCCCTTAGTTCACAAGTCTGGCTAAGCTGATGCACTACACATGAACAGCAGTAGACATCTTTGCTTTCTTTCTCCCTCCCTCCTCTGTAACAAGCTTTTCTTGGTTGTCTTCACTTCTCCAGTTTTGGCCAACACTCAAGGTTAAACCACTTGTTTACTAAAGGCACTCTTCATCACACACTGATCCAGATTAATTTTTGTAAGTGCCTGTTGTAAAAGTACACAGAGAGTTTGAAAAGGCAGGAAGCTGTTAGAACTTGTCACAAAAATCAGCACAAAGGCAGCAGGATTTGGAAGGCAAATTTTTCATTTGTAGTGAGATACAACTTCACTTCCTTGAGTTTTGGTGATGACGCCATTTGCTAGCATTATTCATGAATTTTAACAAATCAGATAAAACCACCACAGAATTCCTCTGCCATTTCTAATTGTGCCAACTGCAGTAGTATTGGATTTGTCTTCATGCTATCACCTTAATGTTTTCTGCTGCCATTAAAAATAGGTATTTTGATTGCACTAAGAGCAATGCGTGAGAAATGGTATGACCTGCTGTCTTTGTTCAGCAGATGATGAATTGACTGAGGCTGCAGAATGCACTTTTTACTATATACAGGTGAGACTAAGCTTCACCTGTTTACCTTCTCACAAGTCTCCACTGAGATGCCTTTAGAAAGAAAAAAATATTTTTCAAAAAAGCAATTGGTTATTATCTTCTTTTCATTCTTCCACCCTTTCTCTACCTTGATTTCATTGTAGCAGTTGTTGATTATTTGCTGATTATGCGTTAGTTCCAAGTTAGCAGAGCACAGGGCCTGTGCACTATTAACTTAACATGCATTTTGTTTAGGAAATCTTTATCCTGTTGGATTCATGTTCCTTAGAGCAACATGCCAAAGGAAGGTTATCTTGTGGCCAGTGGAAATCATGCCATATATGGACTCCAAAGTTGACAATCTGCCTCTGAGTTCTGGCTCTGCCCATGGGAGAATTCAATTGAATATTTTTAGTCCTTCATCTCCTTATTTGTAAATGGGAAGTAAAAATTTATGCCGTGCCTATGTTTCAGGCTGGTAAAGGATCAAATAACATGATGCCAACATAAGTGCTTTATAAAATCTTACTATACTTGAAAGGTATTCAATTTTTATTCATCATTTTTACCTACACTGATTTCCAGAAAGAATTTTAGTTCAGTTACAACAGAAGATACATAGGCAATAGGACCGACTATTAAAACAAAGATAAAAGAACAAGAATTATATAATAAAATAGCAGATTATTGTCCCAGAAAACCTAAGTTAAGCATAGTTGTAAGAGTTGAACACTAAATTTAGCTTTGAACTTCCTGGCAGCTAAGACAGAACACAAAATACAATTAGACACAAAGGTCTCCATAATTTACAAACTGAAGCATGCTGGTTCATTAGGAGAGAAGGAAATTTTCCTCCCACAAAATTCTAAGAGGACCATGGGTGAGATCATTATCTGGGCACACAGCTGTCCCTACTTGCCATACGACTTGAAGTAACTTGAAGTTACCTGTAGCCATATGACTGAGTGCTGGCCAATGGGATGTGAGCTGGACCACAGAAAACATTCCCTAGTGCTCTCCACTGCTACCAGCTGATGTATGGCTTGTGTAGAAGGCGGAAGGTGGGGACAGCCTGAGACCTGAATCCTTGCTTGCAACTGCTTACCCATTAGAAATACCTGCTTTTTACTTTATGTGAACAGGAAATAATACCTCTGTCATGTTGCAGATATTATATATTTTACACAGTTTGCATACACTATAAAAAATATTTTCTAATTCTCAGCATTGTTGGATAGCATAATATCCAACTTTATACCTTAACAGTTTTATCTAAGAAAAAATTTTAAATGAACTTTATGGACCATCTCATTTTATCAGAGATAAGAACATCTAAAGGTTCTGGGGAAAGGGAGTGAAACAAAAATGAGTAATTTTATTTATGTGTTTGGGATGGTGGTGCCTGGGTAGAAAGGCAAGAAGGAAGATATAAGAATAGTTTTGGAGTATGAGACACGTCTAGGAAGACCTGTTCATTTGGGTACCTTAGTAGTGAAGGTACAATGGGCAATGAGAAGGCCTAGAGAAGGATGGGTCCTCCATAAATTTGGAGGAAGCTTGACAGTTTAGAAAGAAGGACAAGTTAAAAAAAAGGTAAGAAAAGGCCCAATCTGACTTTCTATATTCCTGTAGAGCCTAGCTTGCCTGGCAGGACATCAACATCCTCAGCTTTGTCTTGAAGCAAACAAGCACAGTTCATAGACCCTGCTGTAGAATGCTTTCTAAAATCCCCAAGATACTGTTGAGGTGTTTTGGGAATTTTATAAAGATAATCAAGGATGAGAATATCAAAATTCTTTAAATGTAATTGTATTACCCGTTAAGCACAATTCTAGAACTTGCAGAATTGACTACTGAACTTCTCCAGTCTTTTGAGATTCAGTTTGAATAAGTGCATTGTGTTTAGATCTCATTCACCTCCAAGACAGATTTGTTTTAAGAATTCTCACCACACAGTCTCTGGGGCAGTCTTGCTAGGATTTTTACTGTGCCTTTCTTACACTAAAACTATTTGGCCCTTCCTACTTTAAGGATAAATACCTCACATTTTACATGTGGCTTCTAGGTATAGTTAAAGCTAAAGATTTAGTAGGGCTTGGGCAAATGATAGCATGGAGCTGACAGGGTAAAGCCAGCCTCCAGCTCTCAGCTTACAGTCAGGCCAGAACAGGTGTGCCAGGAGAAGATATAGACACAGTTGCTGATAAAGGCAGTTCAGGACCTAACCTGGAGAGCCCAGGAGCACAGGGCAAACTATGGTCTCAGACCAAACGGGCAGCAATTAATCTAGGATCAAGGTCCAATGTTAAACCATCATTGACATACAGAGATCAACAATGGAGAATGTAAAAAAAGAAACACTCAGAACCTACATAGCCAGACTCTCAGGAGAAGCTCAATAAATATCAAGCTCCATGGCTTTCCCAAAGTTCCATTTTCCTTAGACCAAAATTTTTACTTCTCACCACTCCTATAAAATCAGCAAACCACAGCTACTCTTCCTCAAACAATAGTTGGCTTTTGGAGTTTCAAAGAAAATGTAAAATATGGTTGACATCAAAATAATATGAGCATCCAGAGACCATGTCATTTCTCTAAGTATTGTAAGTGCTACAGGGAAGTTTGAGTAACAACCATTTTACGATTCTATGAATAATGCAAGTTTCTCTCCCTTCAGGCTGATATATGGCTCTTTTGACACCATCACTTAAAGGAAAATGAAATCCACAAGTTACTTTTCTGTGCTTCTACCCAGGTAACTTATTTGTTCCAAAGAAAAGAATCAAGACGTCAATTAGAATTTTTGCCTGCTAAGAAAATATGAAATGAGAGATAGAACAATTATGCTTTTGACTCTTCTATGTGAATTTATGTCTTTGCAGCTCTAACCACTTCCTTCCACAACTAATAGGAATGAAGACGCATAGCAGCAAGTGTCACTTGAAGTTTAATTTCCTTTAAGAAAAGTATGAATTAGAATCAAGGCACTGTCAGAGGTCACATGGTTTAACTTCTACTTACTAAATGAGATAATTAGCTCAATTATCTAATGTTAATTGAGCACTTACTCTCTGTGGCATGCACTTTTTAAAGTGCTTTCCAGATAGTACCTCCTCTAATCTTCATGAAAGCTCTGTTATCCTCATGTTAGAAATAAAGGAAACTGAGGCCCAGAGAGATTAAGTATTTGCACAGAGTCACATTGTAAGTAGCAAAGCCGGGATTTAAGCTCAGGAAATCTGACTCCTAGATCTGAAACACTGCATGATTCTGATCCATTTATACAACTGCACAATGAACATAAGCACTAATTGCTTTATTCCTAAATGTTACTACTACGATTAGTATGGTATGTGATATTTTATTCGGAAATACACGTAAAACATTTACTGCATAATTCAAAGACCCAACTTCCTGTTTTTTCACTTAAGAATTGCCACTGCTATTTAAGGAGATGGACTTCACCTAATATCTGACAACTCTTCAGCCCCAAACAAGCAATCTGTGTAAGAAAAAAAAAATGAAGATATAAAGGAATCTGGTGCCAGAATCTTGACATTTCTAAGAGCATGTCCTTAGTAACTGGACCACAAATCACTGCCTTTAGAGTTCAAAGTTGCAGGAATGCTATTGAGGGCATTTTATCCTTTTACAGCAATCTATACCTGTGGCCTCTGGGCCTAAAACTCATGACAGATGGACTGGATACCATTAAAGTCATCTAGTGCATCATTCTTCTTTAGGTGTCCGTGCTGTGTTTGGAAATCATGTTGGCTCAAAGGTCTAACTTTTAGTACTGGCTGCACATGTGCCATGGGATTATTCCATTCTCTGGCTGTTGAGTCTGCTAAAATGGATGAACTTCATTTTTTTTTTTTGAAGGTACACCTGCAAAGCTCAATTTCTTTTTTAGAAAAACTGTCTATGTTCATACAAGCTCCGAATTACCTTCTCTTCTCCTCTTTGGTCCATTAGTTCCTGCTTTTCCAACCGGTAATGTCAAAATAAGTGGTCTGGCCTTTGAAATATTTAACATAAAATAGAAATAAATTAAAACTTGAGGTTGAATTTTCCAGTTTCACTTGGGTTCATTCAAGACTAATCTGCAGTTTGGAAAGAACACCCACCTCTAACCTTCTGAAGCAGTTTCACCAACACATCAACTTTATAATGTAGACTCTCCTAATAGGCCCTAGCATTCAAATTCTTTGTGTTCTTAGCACCGGAACAAAACTGCCACATTTCTGTTCACTATAGAGTCAAAGCTGTCATAATCTGCTGTTATGTTTTACTGAATGTCCTCAAGCTGTCAAAATGTTTGCTATGTCTATCAAAATATGCTAAATTTACTTGGGGCACTGGGCATGAGCAGCAGCAGTGAAATCTTTCAGACAAATGAGGTTGGTTGAATAGCAAATATATGAAGGTTGAAATGAGAAAAGTGTAGGACAGAGCATGTCTTGCTACTAAATATGATAAGTTCTATTATAAAGAAATGATTGATACTATTGGGACATTAATTTATCAATACAGGTGGAACCCAACTTGTTATATTCTTTTGTGGATATCCAAAGATAAAAATGTGTGCCTATTACAGGCTAATATATTGTGAGCTTTTATTATATTTTATTAATTTCCAGGTGGTATTCCAAAATATTTTCTATTTCAAATTAGTATGGATACTCCAAGCACCCACGGACAATCTTAAGAAGGCCCTAGATCATACTTTAGTAAACATAATATAGTAGAAATGTTGGAGGCTCATGACTACCTAAATTCTACGTCATGGAAGAGCACTTCTTTCTACCCATATTTGAAACTAAAAACCACTTTGATGTATGCTGTTCATTATGCATAGCTGCAGAATTCAAAATTCATTGACTAAGAGAGAAGAAAATTATTCATTTACAGTTAAATTCCTATGGTTTATTTTTTATGCAGAGTTAAAATGAAAAATTCTAATTTTGTTTTTATTGGCATTGTTCCAGGATTTACAAAATGAGTGGGAGACTCGTCCCTCATAAGGGATCTTGGGACAACAAAGTGCCAGAATCAGCTTAGAAAAGGAGCTGTGCCACTTAGGGTGAGTGAGACAGGAGGAAATTTTTTGCAAACTGGGTATGCATATTTGCATTTGCTGAGTTCTATGTCCGTATTAAATGCAAGAACAATTATTCCTGGAGGTCACCTTAGAGATCTGGCTTTCTTCACTCACAGCCATAATTTTTTGTTTCCCCAAAATATGTTGATCTCTAAGAAAAAAATTTTTTCCAACAATAAATAGTTCTTTCTTGATAGTAATGAAATTCAGTGAAGCAATTTCAAACTAAAGAATATTATTTGGCCCAAAGAACTGAGGGGCAAAGCTACCAAGCACATTGTGTTAAATCCAGGCCTAACCAATTATTTTTAATTCTCTGCTATAACAATTAAGTGTATTTTTTTAATGCTTAAAGAAAAATATCTCTGTGTTTCATTCTAGGCTCCTTCATGAACAACTCAAACTATCTGGTCAATAAGCTTCACACTTACCTCAAAGGCCTTCTGTATTTTTACAAAGTCACCCACGCTGAGTTGGTTTTCAAGCAGGCCTGTGCCATAGTCTTCAAATGCAGTTACACCTTCTGTTCTCTCAGGACTCTTTGGCCCAAGCTGTGACCCTATGTTTAACTCAAGTACAGCTTTCTGGCAACTCATAATGGCTTCACCTTTTCTCAGTTGCCTTCAACTATTTCTATAAGGATGGATCTTCTTTTTCCTTCAACAGGTGCCTTTGAAAAGAAACTCAACTTAGCAACAGAATTCCAAAATGAAAGTACAAACCTTTCAAGGCATACGATCAGGAGGCAAAATGTTCAAGCTGAGGTAGGAAATGAAAGCCCTCAACCCTCTCACTTATTTGATTCTAGAGTTTATTTTCAAAATTTACAGTTGAATGCTTTTAAAATGGTATTTTTACCCCTTCCTTATACTCTGTTTAACCTGGCTTGATTAAAAATGTGTAAAGCTTTCCCCACATTTATAGTAACTGACACAGAAAACAACTTCCAATCCTCATTTTAAATGCATTAGAAAAGCACCTTCCCAAAAATCTCTTTAACTAACCTTGCTTCCATTAACATGTTGTAGTTTTCAATTCCACTTTCTTGTCTGGAAGAGTTAGATGACAAAGCTGCAGAGTTTCCCTACCAATGAAGTACTTGACTCTGAATGCCACCTTCCCAGCAATGTGGAGTTGTTTGTTTCATCTGTTCTGATCCTTTTGTATGTTTCCTGGCAACCAACACAAAGCCAACTAAAACTTTCCCTTTCACTTCCCCCTCTCCAACTGAAAGTTTAAATATATAATGTAAATGTTGAAATGGTTTTTTTTGAAATAAAAGGACAGTTCATTCCACTCATTTTTTATTAAACGACATCTTGTATTATTTAAAGACAACTTTTACCATTATATAGGATATATATTATGAAACTATATGATTAGTCAAAGAGAAAAGCATGAAATTCTGGAATTTTATGTTTTATACACAGAAAATGTTTTATTTTTATATAAAAGGAATCTGTTTCTTATATTCTTTTTGTCTTAGTTTCTATGTATATAAAATAGAGATGGTTCAAAAAAGCTTCCAACTTGTTGAAAATGTGATAAAAAAACACAGCATAACATAATATGATAAATCTAATGATAAAATTGCTTGCAGTGTCATTACTGGTTCAGCTAATAATAATGAAAAGGAGGAGAAAAAGAAGAAAAATTAACATTTTTTGAGTATTAACCATGTGCCAGGCACTAAAACTTTATGTTCATTGTCTTGTTTAAGCTTCACAACAATCCTACAAGGCAGATGTGATCATTATCCCCATTTTACTGATAAAGAAGCAAAAAGCCGGGCAAGGTGGCTCACGCCTGTAATCCCTGCACTTTGGGAGGCTGAGGCAGGTGGATGGCTTCAGCTCAGGAGTTCGAGAGCAGCCTGGGCAACATGACGAGACATTGTATCTAGTAAAAATACAAAAATAATCAGCCGAGCATGGTGGCGCACACCTGTGATCCCAGCTACTCGGGAGGCTGAGTTAGAAGGATCCCTTGAACCTGGGGGGCAGAGGTTGCAGTGAGCCAAGATTGTGCCACTGCACTCCAGCCTGGGCAACAGAATGAGACCCTGTCTCAAAAAAGAAAAAAAAAAAAAGCAAAGAAAATGCCAAAGGTCACACAAATAGTAACATACGGAAGAGAACAGAATGGCTCCCAAACTTCAGATACTGCATGTATTAGTCTGTTTTCACACTGCTAATGAAGACATACCTGAGACTGGGTAATTTATAAAGGAAAGAGGTTTAATTGACTCATAATTTCACATGGCTGGGGAGGCCTCAAAATCATGACAGAAAGCTAATGAGGGCAAAGTCATGACTTACATGGCAGTAGGCAAGACAGCATGTGCAGGGTAACTCCCATTTATAAAACCATCAGATCTCATGAGACTTATTCACTACCAGGAGAACAGTATGGGGAAACCGCCCCCTTGAGTCAATTATCTCCACCTGGCCACGCCCTTGTCATGTGAGGATTATTACAATTCAAGGTGAGATTTGGGTGGGGACACTGCCCAACTGTATCACTGCACTTTAGATGGATGTGCCCGTTGCACTTTATTTTCACTTCTGTAAACTAAAAAGTTGGCATTACATCTTCTCTAGGGTCTCTTCCGGCTCTAACATTCTCTGAGCTGGTGTTCACTAGAGGCATGGTACAGAACAGAGAGAAGAGCATCCTGTAGGAGTTCCTGTACCCATTATAGAAAAAAATGAAGTTTCATTCATGCTTTCATTTTTTCATCCATCTCTCATTATTCTTTCAAAAAAAACATTTATTAAGAGCCTAATAGGCAGGGCACGGTGGCTCATGCCTGTAATTCCATATTTTGGGAAGCCAAGACAGGCAGATCACTTGAGGTCAGGAGTTCAAGACCAGCCTGGCCAACATGGAGGAACCCCGTCTCTACTAAAAATATAAAAATTAGCTGGGCATGGTGGCAGGCGCCTGTAATCCCAGCTACTTGGGAGGCTGAGGCAGGAGAATCGCTTGAACCTGGGAGGCGGAGGTTGCAGTGAGCCAAGATCACGCCACTGCCCTCCAGCCTGAGTGACAGAGATAGACACTGTCTCTCTCTCTCTCTCTATCTCTCTCTCTCTCTATATATATATATGCCTAATATATGTCAAGTCCTGAATTGTGACCTGGTGCCTGCCATAAGGGCTTTACAGTCTAGTCAGGGCAATTATCCGTCTAGCTCATCTTTAATGCCAATTCCAACCTCTTGTGTTCAGTGTTCCAACACAGTGCTGTGTTCAGAGCATTCTGAAGCCATAGCTAGGCTCAAAGGGAAAGAGTGGCATTATAGATGTGTATATATGTATTGATATGTATCACACACACAGAACGGGGGTGTATTTACCAGATTTGCTTTTCTTCGATAAGTCCTTCTTGTAAGTTAGGAAAACATTTTTAAGCCCTAATACTACAAGTTCCCCTAAGTTATCTTACATGGGAACACGATTTGTCTTCTTATCACCCTAGTTAGTAAGTTAATAATACTTTAAATCAGCTGGATCAGCCCCATAAATGTTTGTAAAATGTTTTATAGTGATATTCTAGAGAGTTGGGCTTAGTTCAGTAGCAGACACTAATGAGGGAAGGGAGAAGAAATAGGAAAAACATTCTGTAAAGATGAACCACGAGAGGTAGGTATCCCACTGGCTGACAATGCAAAATTCTCTAATTATTCTAAGACAGACAAGATGCCTGGCCTACTTAGCTTCCATAAAGTTGCAGCCCTAAATGTTTTCATTAGTCAAAACAGGAAAGTATAATGAGCAGCTAACAAATTACAGTAGAAGTTAATCAATTGACACAGTTTTCTTGCTATAAAATTATGACATTAGAAATAATTCTTGATCATAAAGGCTTAAATGGCTCTAACCTTCTCTGTAACTGTGTGGTTAATTTTCAGGTTAAATTCCTGCGGCACTGTAAAATCCATAACTAGTGTCTTGACTGGTGAAATTTTCCCTCTTGCTTGCCATGAATCAAGTATGATATTGTGAAAATCAAGATGGTGACAGTTTAATCACCTTTAGAAGGCCAAAAAGCAGATTGACACTTGCCCCCTTCTCCTGTAGGGATCAGACAACACCTGCCAGCATAGTGGAGCCCTAAGCACCAAGAGGGCAGAGTAAGCTGATACATCCATTGGCCTTTGACACTTTGGGACTGAATAATTCTCCCCACCGAATAGACACACCCATCTGTGTCTTTATCACAATTCACAGTCCACACCCAAATCCCTGCTCTCTCCTTCCCCCACAATTTATTGCCACTGACATAAATATAGACCTTCCTTTTATATTATTTAAGGACTACTTTTTACCATTATATTTTCTACAAAGTAGGATACATATTATGAAACAATATGATTAGCCAAAGAAAAGAGCATTAAATTCTGGAATTGTATGTTTTACACAGAGAAAATGTTTTATTCTTAAAGGATAGGAATCCATTCCTTATATTCTTTTTGTCTTAGTTTCTATGTATATAAAATAGAAATGGTCCAAAAAAGCTTCCAACTTATTGAAAATGTGAGAAAAACACAGTATACCATAATATAATAAATCTAATGATAAAACTGGTTCAGCTAATAATAAAGACAAATGAGATACATCTCTATGCCCACCATTGCTCAGAGACACATGTCTGAGCATAACATGCCCTACAAGGCAGTTATGATCATTAGCCCCATTCTCCTCCCCCCCCACAATTTATCCCCACCAACATATAGATCTCCCTTTTCCTTTTCTTCTAACTCCTCTTTCTTTCTTTGCCCACCATTCACACTGAAGCCTGTTCTTACTCGTTAATCTTTGCCTAAATTCTCCCTCCACCTCCTCACTTCAACTGAAATCAGTTTTACCTTAGGAACCTCATTTCCGGCCCAGCCTTCTCAGGTCCTCACTGCTCCTTGTTCTTCTCAAGTCCTCACTGCTCCTTCTCAAGTCCTCACTGCTACAGGAAGAGAAAGAAAGGATGTTTTTCCCATCATCTTCTTGCCTCTTGACCTCATGCCTTCCAGCAAAGCCCCAGACACCCGCTGGCTCTGTGTAAAGGAACCTCCTCTCAAAGCCTGGGGAAAGCTCTGGCCCTGCCCTTGGCACCTTTTAAGCCCTCAACAGATATTAGTTTCTTTCCTTCTTTGTTCCTTATCCTCCCAGTTAGAATTAATTACTCCTTTCACTCTGCAACCACAGCATTTTTTTCAGACTTTAAACACAGCACTGTTTCTTCCTGCTTTGTAATGTAATTAGTTGTCTGTGTATCTCTCTCTCCCATTAGATTAACTCCTAAGAACAGGGATGATACCTCACTAATGCTGCAGCCTTACATTGCCCAACATGGTGTTCTGCATAAACTTCTCGACACTACAGCAATGTATGCTCATTTGTAAACAAGGTGGGTAAAGGAGACATTCACCTATAACCTTGAGTTATCAAGCAAGGGTCCTGGGAATAGGCGGCATTGAATCAGAAGGAGAAGCAGAATTCTGTGAAAAAAAGAAAATCATATGACTCAAAGGTCATTAAGAAAAAGAGAGAAAGAAAATTAGTGACAGAAATGAAATTTGAGACAGTATCTTCAAGCCACTTAAAATTATCAAGTGCTTTTTGAAAAAATGCATTTTCTTCATACAATTTCTGTGTAATGTACAAATATGTGTTGAAGCTTTACTCTGTCCCAGGTGCTGCTTCTAAACACTGGAAAAGCAAAGATAAATGAGATACATCTCTATGCCCACCATTGCTCAGAGACACATGTCACAGTAAATGTTGGCTTTCAATTAATCCTATCTTTTGAGAAAGTAGTTTCCATTGTTAAATTAACAACACTGTAATTTTTAAATCATTTTCTTTCTTTCCTTTTTTTTTTTTTTTTTTTTTTGAGACAGAGTTTTGCCTTGTCACCCAGGCTGGCGTGCAGTGCTCTGATCACAGCTCACTTCAGCATCAACTTCACAGGCCCTTCCACCTCAGCCTCCCAAGTAGCTGTGATTACAGGAATGTGTCACCATGCCTGGCTAATTTTAAAACTTTTGTGTAGAAACGGGGTCTTCCTATGTTGCCCAGGCTAATCTCAAATTACTGAGCTTAAGCCATCCCGCTGCCTCAGCCTCCCAAAGAGCTGGGATTATAGGCATGAGTCACTGTACTCAGACAAAACTGTATTTTCATAACAGCATTTCTCAAACTTTTCAAGTATTTGAACACAGAATTATTGAAATAATGATATCCTAAAACAACTAAATATATAATTTTGCAGTAAATTACATATCATAAAGAAGCAAGCAGCGGTAGCTAAATTTAAAAATAGATGCGGAAATAGATTGTAAAACTGAGAAAATTATTGACTTAAATGTTCTAACTTACTTGAAAAAAGCCCACTAAGACTTTATCAGTAGACACTTAGGATCCGCTGAATTTAATATTGAGATCAGTACTTAAAAGTATTCATGGCTGGGCACAGTGACTCACGCCTGTAATCCCAGCACTTTGGGAGGCCAAGGCAGGTGGATCACTTGAGGTCAGGAGTTCAAGACCAGCCTGGCCAACATGGTGAAACCCTGTCTCTACAAAAATACAAAAAATAGCCGGGCATTGTAGCACACACCTGTAATCCCAGCTACTCAGGAGGCTGAGGCAGGAGAATTGCTTGAACCCGGGAGGCTGAAGTTGCAGTGAGCCAAGATCGCGTCATTGCACTCCAGCCTGGCAACAGAGTGAGGCTGTCTCAAAAAAAAAAAAAGTAGTCAGAAGGTCAATCTATTTATGCAAATTCTGATGAGTATTTCCAACAACGAATCACTTTTGTCCCTCTTTGCTTTAGCATATCTTCTCTTTGAAATCCAGCATCCTTGTTTTCAGTCACACGTGGGTCTCTCAGTCATCAGTGGGGCCTTCATAAGGGAGCCACTTACTCGGCAATTGCTCTGAACTAGCTTACTAAATTCCTTTCCATTGCCTCTCTGAGAAAACTGCCTGCTATTCTACCTGGGGCTTTAGAACAGTGTGTCAAAGCCACCTAGATATCGAACACTCGCATTCATGTTTAGAGCCACTAGAAAACAGTCAAAAAATCATTGCATGAAAGGAGTCACTGATAATCCAGTAAGCATTTACTGATTGTCTCCTTGAAGAAAGACAGAAAGCAGTTAGGTGGGAAATGAACAATTATTGAGCTCCTAGTATATGCCAAACATTGTGTTAAGCACTTTCACAAATGTTATTTTACTTAATTCTTGTGATATCTCTGCAAGATACCTAATGTTTTCTCTCTTTTTTTGACAGATGAGGAAACTAAAACAAAAAATATCTCATCCAACTTCATACAACTTGCAAATTCTATAATGTAGCAATGCCAATAGAATGACGTTATGCACTTTAAGAACATTACATAGATTAGTTCCTTTAATTTTCCTGGAAATCCTATGATATGGGCACTATTATTGTCATCATTTTTAGCTGAAGAAACTGAGGCTTAGGCAGGGCAAATGACGTGTTAGGATCATCCAGCAAGAAGTAGAAAAGCTGGAGTTCAAATCCCAAGTTTCTCCATAGTATAAAGCCCTGTGCAGGGTAGACTGCTAAACACCACAATAAATTCTAACCCAGTTCAGGAGCTAAAACGTGCAAAAAGTAAAGAAATAAGAAAGCCCATACTAGGAAATAAAGTCAAATGGGCTTAAAATTTGGAGTCAGAATACCAGGTTCAAGTCTTGTTTCTCTCATTTTCAGCCCTATCATCTTGGGCAGGTTGAGTCATTTCTCAAAATGAAGATAGCAGAATTGTTTATCTCATAGAATCATTTTAAGGTTAAAAAGATAAAATACAGTGAAAACTCTATGTAAATTTTAAAACATTATGCACATGAATTAACATTAATATTATTACACAGTTGGAAGAAGGTAAATTTCCTGCAACCTTGGGAAAATAAGGTAGGAGTTCACAGAGAGATTGGAATATTAGAATTGTAAAACAGAATGAAGCAAAATTATCTATATCATGATGTTTCACATTAAAGCTGAGATTCTGTAATCATTTTCATTGTGTTTAGGAAGGTCTTATGTCTAAATCTATTCCAGAGAGCAACGCTATATCAATACTTCAATGTTAGTTATTAAATGCAATGATTGTGTGCGCGCACACATTTGTATGAGTTAGTAGATGTGTGGTTTTATCATTTTGAAAAAATGCTTTCTTCCTTATGATTAGTCAGAGTTAATGTCAACTATAGACATCTTCCCTAAGAGGGCCTGGTCTGTTCGGCACTGTCTGAATCTGTTTTTTTTAATAACAACAGAAATGATATTCAAAGCAGTGTAACTACTGTCTATCATAATGTGACCCTCTTAGACTGTCTGAGTGCCTGAATCCCCAGAATCAGATGTTTTGTTCCTAAAACATTAAACACTCTATTCTAGAAGGAAAGTGGATTTTAATTTAATTTGGTCTCACTGAATGGCTTAACCCCAAAGGAAGAGATATATATACATATAAACACACGTGCACACACGGAGACAGAGACACAGAGAGAGACAGAGAGAAGGAGAGAGATAAAGAGAGAGAAGGGGAGACATGTCAGGGCAAAGACTAGAAGTTTCTCAGATAAGTTGCCTCATATGGGGAAACTGTGGGCAGTTACAGTACTTTGGGTAAGCACTGACCACTAACTGGGGTGGCAGAGGTATAAGGTAGCGATAAGAGTATCTCTGAAGGGAATAAAATACAATGAAACAGTAATTCTAAATTTAGAGTCAGGAGACCTGAATTTTGGTGCAGCCTCCACCATGTCCATGTGACTCTAAAATTTACCCTCATTGGGCGTCAGTTTCCACAGTCCTAAGTGAAGATAATGATTCCTACATGTACAGTGCAAATAATTACTTTGAGGCTCAAATGAAATCATGTATAGAGACATTTTCTAGCCAGAAATGGCTATGTAAATATTTATTTTTTGGTTGGGTCATTCATTCGTTTTATATGTTTATGTGACTTAACATGTGTAGGGCACTACCCTGGTGATACCCAATAGCTATCAGTTATGGGTCTTAATATTAAGGAGCATAAAGTCTAGAAAATGACATAAGCCATCCATATGAATCAGATAGGTAAAAAAGGGTGTAGATGAAATGGTATGCATGTTAAGGAAAAGACTGCTTAATTATATATGGTTGAGGAGGCATGGTAAATGGAGTAAAAATAGCTTTGGAATTGGTGACATCTGAATGGGTGTTATGGCTTGAACTGTGTGCCCCCAGAATTAATATGTTGAAGTCCCCACTGGGGCTACCCGAGTACCACAGAATGTGACCTTATTTGGAATAGGGTCATTGGAGATGTAATTAGTTAAGATTAGGTTATACTAGAGTAGTGTGGGCTCTAATCCAATATGACTGGTGTCCTTATAAAAATAAGAAATTGTCTATAAACACACACACATACACAAACACATAGGGAAAGCCATGTAAAGACTGGGGTTTGCTGTCACAAGACAAAGAACTATCAGAAGCTGTAAGTGAAGCCTGGAATAGGTCCTTTCCTAGTGCCTTCATAGGGAATATGGCCCTGCCAATGCCTTTATGTCAACTTCTTGTCTCTAGAAACAAGACAATAATTTCTGTTATTTAAGCCACTGAGTTAGTGGTATTTTGTTATGGCAGCCCATGGAAACTAATACATTTTTTTATATGGGAAGACAGGAAAAAAAGTTTATGGATAGAAATCTATGTTGTTGAAGTTTATTATTATTAAACTAATATAAGATAGAAATAAATACAATCATTATATTGTAATAATATACCTACAATACTGAACACCTAGCACAGTGCTTGACACATAGTAGGCACCAAATAAATATTGAATGAATGTTTTAACCAACAAAAAGGAGATCACAGAAAGGGGAATGGATTGGCATCAAATATATATGTTTTAATCTGTTTCATACTCTTTTTTTTCTGGGCAAAACCTCTACTTAACCACAAAAAAAATCAGAAACATCCATATTTCTATGAAAAATGCTACCATTTCACCTTTGTTTACTTTAGGAAATTCTGTCTAGGAAAACAAAGAAATAAAAGGGAAAAAGGGCAATAGAAAGGAATTTTACACTTGTAAAAATCAAAGTTCTGAAACAAAACGCACTTTGAAAGATTGAAAGCTATAGTCCCAAGAAAGAATACTGGCACAATAAATATTTCTCACAGAACATAGTGTGCCTCCTGAGCATGGTGCCTCTGATTGAAAGCCGTGAAGACCAAGGGCCTCTATTTGTCTACAGCAGGAGCAGCAGTCATCAAATTAATATCGGAAGTGCACTCCTACATCAAGTTGTTGCAAGTGTACTCACAAAGAAGACATCTTACAAAATGCAGATGGAGCTGTTGCAATCATTGCCTAGGCCAAATGCTGTCAGAGAAAATGGATCTCAATTTACTCAACACATTTTGGTTTTGTAATTTTCAAGATTAACTCTTGCCATCGTCTGAAACAATATGAGGTTCTTAGGAGAGCTTTAAAAACGCACTCTTGTATGTTCAGAGCAAATGGTACAAGTGATAATTGTTGTGTTCATGTCCACTACACGGGGGTGGGGTGGTGATTAGCTCAGGAAAAAGAGCTCATGTACCTATTGGGAAAATACAGTGGAGGAAATCATGGGGCTTACAACTTTACCAAGGGGGGCATTAATTTAGGGAAGTGAGTCAAGTTTTCAATTAGGAGGAAAATGATACAGATATACGACAATAAACAGCTTCATGACCTTGGGTAAGTTACTTAACTTCTCTGGTTTCAGAATCTTCACCTGTAAAATTGTAAGAATAAATTACATGGTCTTTAAAGTCTCTTCTAGTACTTAATTTAAGAAGGACAGGGAAGGAAAATATAAGAATCCTAAGAGCTCTACAGAAAAATAAAAGATGCTATATCCCAGGTAATATTATTGCATTTATACTGGAAGTACTCAGAACATGACTGTGGACATTTTAAATACTTTTTTTTTTTTTTTTTTTTTTTTGAGACGGAGTCTCGCTCTGTCGCCCAGGCTGGAGTGCAGTGGCGGGATCTCGGCTCACTGCAAGCTCCGCCTCCCGGGTTCACGCCATTCTCCTGCCTCAGCCTCCCAAGTAGCTGGGACTACAGGCGCCCGCCACTACGCCCGGCTAATTTTTTGTATTTTTAGTAGAGACGGGGTTTCACCGTTTTAGCCGGGATGGTCTCGATCTCCTGACCTCGTGATCCGCCCGCCTCGGCCTCCCAAAGTGCTGGGATTACAGGCATGAGCCACCGCGCCCGGCCTTAAATACTTTTTTGATAATTATAAATGAAATCGTCATATGGATAAATAAGTCGACCTGTCAGTCAAGCATCTGTGCAACCTGCCACACACTTAGTCCTGCACTACCTGCTTCTCTTATTGGATTACCAGTGAGGATTTTGGAACTTGGTTATGGCAAATGGATTCTATCAAAAGAAGGCAATTTACATTTATTTGTTTATCCACTCAGTTATTTATTTCCCCATTCATTCATTGAGCAGCCACAATGGCCAAGCATGGTGATAGGCACTGACGATGACAGAGACAGGCTGGCTTTCTCCCACAAAGTTTGTCATCTAGTAGGGTGAGATAAGCAAAAAGCAGAAGGTTACTACACATTTTTATTAAAACAGTGATAAGGGGGTCCAAGGAAGAACATGCACAGGCTCCTAAACCAGACGTGGAAGATCAGGTAAGAAAGATGTGATTAAATTCTGTCATATCTATGATGGCACCCAAATGATTAGATATTGGCCAGATAAAGAATAGGAAAAAGAGGGTTTAAGCAGAAGATACAGTCTGTGCTAAGGCCTGGAGGTGGCCAAGCCCTTGGTGGATTCCTGGGGATAAAAGTAGTTTAGTCTGGGTGGCTCTTACAGCATAGGGAGAAGGGGCACAAGTCTGACTGGAGAAGTAAGCCTAGATCATGGAGCCATAGGAAGGAGCTAGGTGTTCATGCTCAGGACACTGGGAAGCTATCGAAATTTTAAGCTGGGAATGTAACATAATGAGATGTTCATTGACAAAAAATCGTTGAATTGCCCAGTGGTTTTCATCTAGGTAGTTTCATAAATGATCTAGGCAGTTTTTTTTTTTTAAATCCAATAACAGCCCCCTCCAGAAGAATTATTTGAAATCCCTGGAGGTGGAATCTAGGCACCAATATATTTTAAAGTTCCTTAAAAGATTTTATTGTGCAGCCCAGGTTCGAATTACTGGATTGAAAGGGGGGCAAAACCAGCTAGGAGGCAATACACATAATCAAGTTGACAGGTAATGATGGCTTATTTACAGCCTAGAAAAATATCAGAAATACAAGAAAGAGTATCCAATGAGTATAGAGGAGAGAAGAATCAAGAATGGATAATAAGCACAATTCTGAAATATCTTTTTGCAAAGTTTTGAACTCAGAAAACATGTAAATATTTTAAACATTAAAAAATAAAAATAAGTCAACAAAAGCGGGGAACAAACTAAAATTGAACACAAATAGAAACAAGTGAACCTAACCAAGTTGATGACATAACCACAAGGAGGGGAAAATCCAACGGAACTTCAGAGTGTGTGCAAAGAAATTTTGACCTCTAATAGATTTCTAGATTGTGGTGGCATGGGAGTAGAAATTTTGTGCCTATTATTGAATTGTACCAATAAATAAACATTGTTTTATTTTAGGAATCAGGGTTTCCATTATAGCAGAAGAGAGATACAAATATGGAACGGAGAAAGGCAATGAAGAACTCTGTGCTATTGGATGGGAATGAGAAGTATCAGTATAAATTTACACACACACACACATTTATTTCCTAGCACTGACTGTTGAGACATCTCAGTTACAAAGTGACACCTACAGCCCAAGTCTTCATTTCTAAATACCATTCTACTTGTAGAAATGAATGATTCTTGGGTTAATATAAGAAATCTGGAATGTTTTCTTGCCTAGAAAATAATAAAATGCTTTTAAAATGATGAGAAAATTAGAGAAACCAAAAAAGTGCTCCCACTGACCAAATCAGGATCATTAAAAAATATATTTTTCAACTTTTTAAAAAAATTTTTATGGGTACATAGTAGGTGCATATATTTATGGGGTACATGAGATGCTTTGATACAGGCATGCAATGTGAAATAAGCACATCATGGAGAATGGGGTATCCATCCCCACAAAAGCATTTATCCTTTGAGTTACAAACAACCCAATTACACTTTATTTTAAAATATACATTATCATTGACTATAGTCACCCTATTATGACATCAAAAAGTAGATCTTATTAATTCTATTTTTGTTTGTTTGCTTTTACCCACTAACCATCCCTACCTCCTTCTAACCCCCCTCTACACTACCCAGCCTCTGGTAACCATCCTTCTACTCTCTATGTTCACTAGTTCAATCGATTTGATTTTCAGATCCCACAAATTAGTGAAAACATGCAATGTTTGTCTTTTTGTGCCTGGCTTATTTCACTTAACATAATAATCTCCAGTTCCACTCATGTTGTTGCAAATGACAGGATCTCATTCTTTTTATGGCTAGCTGAATAGTACTCCATTGTGTATAAATACCACATTTTGTTTATGCATTCGTCTGTTGATGGACACTAAGGTTGTTTCCATAGCTTAGTAAACTGTGCTGTAACAAAATCTTAGCTTAGTTAACAGTGCTACAACAAACATAGGAGTGCAGATATCTCTTCAATATACTAATTTCTTTTTTTTCTGGTGGGGGATGGGGATATCTATCCAGCACTGGGATTACTGGATCATATGGAAGCTCAATTTTAGTTTTTTGAGGAATGTCCAAACTGTTCTCCGTAGTGGTTGTGTCAATTTACATTCCCACAAACAGTGTACAAGAGTTCCTTTTTCTCCACATTCTTGCCAGTCTTTGTTATTTCCTGTTGTTAGGGTAAAAGCCATTTGAATTGGAGTGAGACGATCATCTCATTATAGTCTTGATTTGCATTTCTCTGACAATCAGTGATGTTGAGCACTTTTTCATATGGCTGTTCACCATTTGTATGTCTTCTTTTGAGAAATGTCTATTCAAATCTCTTGCCCATGTTTTGATCAGATTACTAGAATTTTTTCCTATAGAGTTGTCTAAGCTCCTTATATATTCTAGTGATTATTCCGTTGTCAGAGGGGTAGCTTGGAAATATTTTCTCCCATTATATGGGTTGTCTCTTCACTTAGTTTATTGCATATTTTGCTTTGCAGAATCATTTTAACTTGATGTAGTCCCATTTGTCCATTTTTGCTTTGGTTGCCTGTGCTTATGGGGTATTGCTCAAGAAGTCTTTGCCCAGACCAATGTCCTGGAGATTTTCTCCAATGTTTCCTTGTAGCAGTTTTGTAGGGAGGGAGGGAGGGAAGGAGGGAGAGAAGGAGGGAGGGAAGGAGGGAGGGAAGGAAGGAAGGAAGGAAAGAAGGAGGGAAGGAAGGAAGGAAGGAAAGAAGGGAGGGAGGGAGGGAGAGAGGGGACAGGGAGGAAGGGAGGGAAGCAAGCGAAGAAGGAGGGGAAGAAGGAAGGGAGTAAAGAAATTTTAATAGAGTTAGAAATTCATTATTTTACAACAAACTTTAATAATAATTGATTCAGGAAATAATTATCAATAGATGAAAGTTTCTTAGGAAATAAAATATGTATACAATTTCAAAGCATCTTCTCCACAGATTACTTAATTACAGAAAGGAAGGGGGTACTTTTCAATGGAGCAAGTTACGGAAGTTAACATCACCAATAATGGGACAAACAGACATCATGTGTATCGTGATAAGTTGCACTAAGAAGAACCTATCATAACTTCTGCAATATCCTTGCCAAAATTCATAACTGAATCTAATCATAAGCCAATAATCTGACAAACCCAAATTGATGGAATTCTATAAAACCACCAGCTGTTCTCTTAAAAAAAGTCAATGTTATGAAAAGACAAAGAAAAATTGAAACTGAAGATACATGGCAACTAAATCCATGTCATAATCCTAGATTGGCTCCTGAATTGGGGTGGGAGGGTGGGGAGGGAACAGTATTGGAAGGATAAACAAAATTGAAATATGACTGTATATTAGATAACAGTATTAAATCAATTAAATTTTCTGAATTTGATTATTGCCCTAAGTTATGTAAAAAATATATACTTGTTCTTAAGAGATATATGGTGAAGTATTTAGGATAAGGTCATGGTCATGATGTCTGCAACATTTAAAATTAGTTCAACAATGATGATAATACATATTATATAACAATGATACATACATACATATAGACATATTATTGTACAATTCTTGCAATTCTTCTGTAGCTTTAAATTTTTTTCAAGCTAAAAGAAAAGTGCAAATTTCAGGATTTAGGCTTGAGCTGTTGTAGCACCAACAGATGGCTAGTTGAGTATGAGGACAACCTCACCCAGGGAAGTCCCTGGCTCTGGGCTATGCCCAGGCATCCATGACTAGTGTTCATTCTCCAGTGCTGCCTGTCTGCATCTCATTCGTCTCAAGGTTCATAAATTTCGAGAGAACTTTATTTCTTATAAAGTGTTTCAGCCTGCAGGGAAGTATAGATACCCTCCAGCAGAGGCGAAAAACAAGTCACTTTGGAGGAAAGGTAAGACAGGAATTTATGCTACGCAGGTTAGCTAGGTATATATATTCAACAGGTTATAAGAGGAGATATGAATATTGACAAAGGGGGACACCTGCATGTGTATTAAGCAAACGTGCATGCATGCATCTTTGGCATAGAGACTTAACATTTAAACGTATTTAGGCCCAATATGTCAAAAGGTGAAGCTCAATATGTCAAAAGGTGAAGCAGCAGAGGCTAAGACACTCAGTGTGCAGCCTCTGTAAACTGGCCAGAACAAGTCCATGATCAGTAGTCTCTCATCAGCAGAAAGTTACTGAAATCAGTCTCTTGTCAAATCAAAGCTGTACTTATGGCTTGTGGAATAGGGGTGGGAGAGTTATCAGTCAACATCTGGCAGTCAGTGAGCTGCAAATGTTTTAATATTGCTTATCTCAAGGTATGGCCTTAGGGGACTTGTTTATAATTTGGTGCCATATTGTCACAGAGTCCATTCCATCAGTATTATCATCTCTATTATAACATCTATTACTTGCTAATAGAAACTCCTTTTCCTGCAGAAGAACGTGGTGCCCAGCACCAGTCATTACCAAGTAATTCCTGAGATTCCCTAATAAGCAGAAATGACCATGTGACACAATTCTTGACAATGAAAGCATACATGGAAGACTGTTGGGGACCCTGGAAAGACTTTCACTTTATCTGGTAAGACAAGAGGATCCCTCTTCCCTTTATCCTGCCTCAAATGTGGACATGAATGAGTGAGGAAAAGCCTATGAAAGTCTCCCAAAGTCTATATTTAAGACACTATCAATATCTGCAACTGCATTATTCTAAATTTCTTGCTTTGTTAAAAAAATTATTTATTTAAACATTACTTAGTTTTGTTGCACACAACCTAATACATTCTTAACAAATACAGCAGTTAGGAACATGATAGTAATATTAGGCTTCTGAGAACCAGCTCAATGGGATGTCCAATCAAAAATTGGCTATGTGTGTCAAAGAGTGTTTTCTTAGGTGTCTTGTATTTTGGGAGGATGGAGGGAGGAGGGAGTAGAACGGAGGACAATATAAGATCAGAAGATCCGTCTTAAACATTTCAGTTTAAACATTTTGGTACATTTAATAAGTAATGTTTTTTAGAATTGTCATCCAGGACATTTTCCTTCTCCCAATTTCTTCTTTTTATAAAGTGCAGATCAGCATTTTGTTCACTATTCACTGCAGCTATACCTGAAATCATTTGCCTATATTTGTTTTGTTGTTGTTGTTGTTTATATTTTGAACACACAAGGAGGCAAAGGAACAGGTAAGTAAGGAATTATGGCACAGCCCAGTTTGATTCTGTTTGGAACTGGAAGGCCGTTCTGGAAACAAACCAGAACTGGGGACTGTATTATTTTATCTCAACAGCAGCCAAGTGAACTTTCATCTCAATGTAACTTAAGCAACTCTCCAGCTGTTTCTCTCTGTGTTTCTATACTCTGCTTTTACTCTATCAAGGGACAACTTACCATTTGATCAGTTCTCTCCACCTCATTCTTACTCATGTTTTCTGCTTTTCTGAATGTTGGCTCTTGTGTGCCTCCTTCTGCTTTAAGCCTCTTTGTATCCTTTCAGCTTCCTCTCTCACTGCCAGCCAGTACTTAGAATTACCTGGTTTAGAATCTGGAGCAAGGATGTGAAGTGACCCAGCTCATCATGGTTGAGAAAAGCTATCTCCAAGGCCAGAAGTCAGCATTTTTTTTTCATTTGGATAAAGATTCTGCTGCTGGTCCAGTTAATCATTGTAGCTGGGAAGGGTCACATAGTAATAGGCCAGATCTCTCTTTCTGCAATGACCATAGGTGAGGCGGCTTCCTTCAGAAGGGGACTTTAGAGAAAACTAAGGTAACTAACTCATTTAGCACTTGTATCATCAAAAAAAGAAAAAGCTGGCCGGGCGCAGTGGCTCATGCTTGTAATCCCAGCACTTTGGGAGCCTGAGGTGGGTGGATTGCTTGAGTTCAGGAGTTCAAGACAAGCCTGACCAACATAGTGAAACCCCATCTCTACTAAAAATAAAAAAAAACTTAGCCAGGTGTGGTGGCCAGGGCCTGTAATCCCAGCTACTCAGGAAGCTGAGGCAGGAGAGTCACTTGAACCCGGGAGGTGGAGGTTGTAGTGAGCTGAGATTCCACCACTGCAGTTCAATCCAGCCTGGGCGACACAGTGAGACTCCGTCTCAAAAAAAAAGAAAGAGCTAAGAAAGAGTGAGTATACTGGCATGCACAGAATAACTTCCTATCCACACTTGAAAAACCAGATATGTAGGATAATTGTAGAATAAAATTAGATAATAAATAGGTTTATGAATAGCTGGTTTAATTTAGAAAGATGACTCCTATTTTCCTGCTGTTGTATCAAATGACTGGGTTTATTTTCTCTAAGACCTTAGTAACACACGCTTGAAAAAGATTATCACTTTTGCTTGGAATATAAATGTTGAACTGTCAAAATCATAAAAACTCTATAAAACAATTTTTTGGAAAAACCTAATAGAAAATAGAAATGTATAAATATGATAAAGAGGTCAAACACAAATGCTAATCAAGAAAGTAGGTGAAATAGACCAGTATTCAGCAATTTCTCTCCCACAGTAATCTTAATTTCATTTGGAATTTAATCCGCAAAATTTCTTCTTTTCCAAATCCCATTTAGAATAATATCTGTTGATAATTTTCAGCTTTTTAGGCAATGTGCCCAGATGAAGAGACGTCTTCTCTGAAGTACTGTTTCCCCTCTTATTTAGCATCTTTACAAAACAATAACAAATCTCAATTATTTCATGCTGAGTTAACATTTCAGTACATTTATAAGGTAATGTAAATTTAGAGTAGTTGTCCAGGACATTTTCCTTCTCCTAACTTCTTTTGTAAGTCTTATAGTTGAAAGGTATGGTATAAAAATTCATTTTTGCATTATTGTGTGGTTTCTGGGCCCCACCCTCCCCACCCCATGCCCCGCCATGGGCTTCCTCTCCTTTCTTTAGTATTAATTTTAGCAAGAGAGGCCATCTATCTTAGGTTTCCCTTAAGATGTCTGAAGGTTCATTAGATTTTTTTGGCCTTCTCTTCCCTGATTATTATTTTGTTTCTCTGCAAGAAAAAACTTTTTTTTAACACTTTTAATCTCCTCTTTATCTTTCCTACAGATTTTCTATAAATAATACATATTTGATATTACTGAAGCAAAAGAAGTCTAAAGGGTCATTCTTTCAATATTTATAAAGTACCTACTAAGTGTTACGCACTGTGCTGGATGCTTGGCTAGATAATATGCTGTCCTTCTTCTGGTCTCTGTATTTTTGTGTGTGTATGTTTTAAGAAGATGACATTCTTCAACATTGTAAGGTCAGTAATCTGACAAATGTAATTTAGTAGTATTGGGGCTCGGAAAATGACACCCCAAAACATGCTGAGAGCTTTGAACAAAGGAGATTAAAATGCTCCAGAACGAAGCCTCAGAACCAATGTTTCTCTCTGACCTTCTGCTCCTTCCACAACTTCTCTGCTGAAGTGCAGGGAGGTCCTTTCTCTGAAGTTCCCTTATCTGACTGAGGGAAGGAAGTTCTTCCAAAAGGAACACAATGGTCTCGAATCCTTTCCCTAGGAAACTCATTAAGCAACCAGGAAAGATTAATCACCACAGAGGAGATTAATTCATCACTGCAGGCAGACAGGCTATCACCTATTCTTTTGGATGCAGCTCTAAAACAACTTTTATCTGAATAGTAAGACAGCCTTTGCTCATCATTTGGTTCCTCCCCTTTCCCTCCCCTAACTTGTTGCTACTTCCCCCCAATGCTTCAGGTTCCCATTCCTTTATGCTATTTACGTTTCAGCTATCTGGCCCTTCTCAGAGTCTCACATTTTATTTGGCTCCTGTGCATATTAATAAATCTGTATGTCTTTTCTCCAATTAATCTGTTCATTATCAGTTTATTTCAACAGCCTCAATTGACTCTTCAGAAGGTTAAACTTTTGTAGGCTATTTTCCCCTTAAAATGAACTATATTTCATCTTCCCTCTTTAGGCCTACTTGTTGGTAAGCTATAGAACAAGCTTGTCCAACTTGTGGCCCATGGACCACATGTAGCCCAAGATGGCTTTGAATGGGGCCCAACACAAATTTGTAAACTTTCTTAAAATATCATGGGTTTTTTTGCGATATATATATATACATTTTAAAGCTCATCAGTTACTGTTATGGCCCAAGAAAATTCTTCTTCCAATGAGGCCCAGGAAAGCCAAAAGATTGGACTCCCCTGCTATAAAGTTTGGCTTTCATGGAGGTAGTGGGGGAGGTGGTCCCAAAATAGACCACTGATTTGCCAAATTTAAAAATTAAGGGTTTTCATATTCAGAACCAAAATTACTGTAAAGACTGACCTCACTGGTGATGTCACAATCACATTTCAAAAACAATAGAGTATTTCCTGTGATTTAAATTCTAAATCAAAATTATTCATAGGCCAGTTCTAGATTCTTTTGCTGTTCCCTTTCCCTCTACGGCAAGTCTTGCCAACAGGATGAGACTCCCTTGTCAACTATGATGATTAATTTTACGTGTCAATTTGATTAGGCCACAGAGTGCCAAGATACTTAGTCAAACATTATTCTGGGTGTTTCTGTGAAAGTGTTTTAAGATGAGATTAACACTTAAATCAGTGGCATGGATAGACGGGATTGCTTCCATCATGTTGGTGGGCCTCATTCAGTCAGTTCAAGGCTTGATTAGAACAAAAGGGCTGACCTTCACTTGACTAAGAGAAAATTCTTTTTGCCTGACAGCCTTCAAACTGAGACATTGCTTTTTTCTTGCCTTCAGACTTGAACTGAAACTTTGGCTCTTCCTGGGTCTTGAGCCTACTGGCCTTTGAACTGGAACAGCAACATTGGCTCTCCTGGTTCTCAGACCTTTGGACTCAGACTGCAACTAAACCATCAGCTTTCTTGGGTCTCCAGCTTGCCAGCTTACCTTGAAGCAGATCTTGGGACTTATCAGCTTCTGTAATCACGTGAGCTAATTTCATATATATATAGCCTATTCACTCTCTGGAGAACCCTCATACACAGTTCTACTGCCTATTCTCTATCCCATCTTCTACTGGGAGAATGCAGAGAGGGAACCAAGAACAAAATATAATGAGGATCGTCTCCTTAAAAGAAAGCAAATAGGGAGTGGGCTAATATTTTGGGAAGAAAGTCTCATTATGTGCCCAAAAATTTTATGTGAGGAAATTAAAGCTCAGAAAGCTACAATTTATATAAGAGCAGACAGCTAATAAGAACCTGATTAGCTATCCCACCCACAGACACGTTTTAGGGAAATAAAATTTACAACATAATTTCCATTTATGTATAGCCCTCCGGAAAAGTAGAGCATCCTGGAAAAGGAACTCTCTATGTCTTTATATCTGAGTTGCTGTTTTCTTTATCTTCTGGGGTCTTTTCAGGAATATCTAATATATTAATATATGATCTTCATTTCTCACTGATTTCTGTTGTGTTATCCCTGCTATGCTGCAGTTCATTAATAAGCACTCACCATTTCTTTCGGCTGCCATCTCTCGTGCTCTCTTTCTCAATTCTTTGTGGAACTCATCTCCATTTGATTACGATACTTAGCTAACACTATCAACAATACAATTATTTCTGCTCTTTTCAAGAGTACTATTCTTTTCAACCACCAGTGTCAGACTTTCCTTGCCCTGTTAGAATCCTGAATTCTATACTCCAAACAGGTACTGTCTTGAGTGGTGCTACGGACTGAATTACATTCCCTCAAAATTCATATGTTGAAACCCTAACTCCATATGTGATGGTATTTGAAGATGGGACTTTTGGGAGATAATTAGGTTTAGATGAGATCTTAAGGGTGGGGCCTTCATAACAGGATTGCTACCCTTATAAGAGATACCAGAGAGCTTTCTGTCTTTCTCCTGTCCCTCTCTCTGCCATGTGTGGGCACAGTGAGAAAGCTGTCTGCACGCCAGAAAGTGAACCCTCACCAGAACTCGACCATACTGGCACCTTAATCTCAGACTTCCAGCTGTCAGAACTGTGAGAAATTAACTTTGTTAAGACACCCAGTCTATGGTATTTTTTTATGCTAGCTCAAGCAGACTGATATAAATGGGTTTAGCCATCATTAATCACTGAGTTTTACTCAAAATGCACACTATTACATCATTTATCACAGTTGATTTAAATAGTGTCAGGTGACTAGAAATAGTTGTTGGACTTAATAGACATATTATTTCTTAATTTGAAACCCATGAATATCCCACTTTAGCCAACATGAGCATGCCATTGAGAACTTCCTCAGAAAGATAATTGTGGCCCAAGGTAACCTGCAAGTTAACAGCAAACACACCAGGAAAAGACAGTAATGGAGCTTATTTCCTACTCTTGTTGCTGATGAGAGAGAAGGGAAAAGGAAAAACTGAGAAGAGCCAGTAACTTTCTGCTGAATCTGTCCTCCCAAGAGACAGCACAGGATAGTTTATCTCTAAGGGTCAGTCTTCTAATCCATAGGTTTCAGGAATTATAAATTTCACAAACCAGCAAAATTACTTTAAAAACTGGAAAAGAACCTTATAGCTCTAGAGAACAATGGTAGCTAATGTTGAATTCTCCCCACATCCTACTAAATGAAATGATATACGAACAAAGAGAATAAATTAAACTTTAGATGACCTATGCATTCACTATTACTAGGAGACAGAAAACACTGCAGCCTTCAAGTCACCTCTAAGCAGAGAAGAAAAACTCCCAACAGAGAGCTCCTACTGCTCCCCTGATGCTGTAAGCCTGTAAGTGTGGACAGTAGGCAAGGGAGTAAGGGATTCTATGAAAAGGAGTACAGGGTACAGACGACTTAGACAAAGCAAAGGAAAAATTCTGCCTAAAAAGGGAAAGTGCAATATTAAAGTCCAAAATTCTGAACACAGGTGAGTACTTGATAGTTTACAACACTACTTACATATTAAGAAGCAAGACTGGAAGTGGAAGCTTTAGTGAAGCACTGCTTCCAGAGGACAATGAGGCAGTAAAAGGGAAGAATAAAATAAGAAGGAAAGATTAAATCTCTGGTGATATATAAAGAACAAGGCATGCTGACCTCCTTCTTTTCCCATTATCAACATAATTCATTTCAGCTGATGAAAATCTCCATTTATCTAAAAGAAATTAAACAAAAACAAAAATACAAGAAGCCAATGAAAACTGTACCAGCACATTCCAACTAAATATTCTCAAGCATATTTAAAAAACTGGACTGAATCAGAAGTACAAGTACTAAAAACAGAGAATAAAATGCACAAAAATAACAAGAAATAAAATGAGAGTTGATTAAATGCAAGAAAGAAATAGAAAAACATATATAACAAAAATAAAAATTAAACTACAAGGTGCTCTAAGAAGATATTTGGATAAAGTAATAGAGTCTTGAAGAAAAGCAGAAAAACAACCATGAACTATGATCACAAAAATGAGGTAGGCAAGGAGTAAAAATGGCCAGAGATAAAGTGATTGAAATGGATGACAGGCAAAGAGGGTCCAACATATATTTAATTGATGACCCAGGAAGACAAAAACAATAGAGTAAAACTAATATTTTAAACTATAATTTAAGAAAACTTTCCAGAAATAAAAGACCTTGGGCCAGGTGCAGTGGCTCATGCCTGTAATCTCAGCACCTGGGAGGCTGAGGTAGGCAGATCGCTTGAGCTCAGGAATTCAAGATCACCCTGGGCAACACGGCAAAACCCTGTCTCTACAACAAATACAAAAATTAGCCAGGCATGGGGGCATGCACCTGTAGTCCCAGCTACTTGGAGGACTGAGGCAGGAAGATTGCTTGAGTCTGGGAGGTCAAGGCTGCAGTGGGCCATGTTTGTGCCACTGCACTGCAGCCTGGGCAATAAAGACCCTGTCTCAAAAACAAACCAAAAAAAAAAAAAAAAAAGAGGAGGAGGAGGAGTAAAAAGAAGAGAAAGAAGGAGGAGGAGGAGGAAGAGGAAGAGAAGAAGAAATGAGAAGAACAAAAAAGAAAGAAGACAGAAGACGAAAGAAAGAAGAAAGAAGTAGGCCACCTCTATTTACACACAGAAAATGTCCATCAAGTAGAGGGAAAACTGGCCTGGATTAATCCACAGTGATACATATCCTAACTATTAGACTCTGAAATTAAAGAAAAAATCTTAATTGCTTCTAGGCAAAAAGATGAAACAATTTTAAAACAAGAGAATTAGACTTGACAGCAGACTTACCAAAATAACATACAAAGCAGGCAACAGTAGAGCCATGTTTTCAAGAAACTTAAGGAAAGAAAACGTGAACCAAGGATATTATAAACAACCACAGTATTCTTTCAGTATCAAGACTATAGGAAAATCATGTTGAACACAAAAGAACTCAAAGAATACTGTATAGATGTGCCTTTCCTGAGGAATCTGCTAAAAGATGAACTTCATCTAACCAATACATGACTAAGAAAACTCTGGCAAAAGGACTGACAGTGAGCACTGCATATATTTAATTGAAAAGTTTGGACTGAAATAATAAGGGGAACACAGGTAAAATAGTAATATATAACATTCGATGTTCTGATGAAGTAGAAAAATGCAATTTAAAAAGTAAAGAAAAGGGAGAGAAAAAGAGAAAAGTATGAATGAGAACATTGACTATCATTTAGGTAACAGGTGAGAGTTAAAGGATATGTTTTAAAGACAACATAACTGACAGTAAAAGTAAAAAAAAAAAGCATTTAAAAGACTATAAAATATTAATACAAAGCAACCACTGGAACAAAAATGTAAATCTTCCTAACAAAATGTTGTAAAAATGCAGAAACACACCAAATCTTGAAAGACACAGTAACTATGGCGTAGTACACACAAAAATTATTTTAAAAAATAACAGAATTAAGCCCAAACATGACAGACATTATCAATAAATGTGAATGGGTTTAACTCAAGGTCAAAAGACAAATTTCAAAAGTCATTAAATAAAACAAAGAAGGACACTTTTATGGTATTAAAATCCACATTTCACATTTAGGATGTAACAGGTATCTCTACCACAATACGGCAACACTTACATAAAACAGAAACTACAACAGATGCAAAAAGAACAAAGACAAACATACTACTAAAAGGAGACTTTAACATACAGTACAAGAAGACTGGTCAACCAAACAAAAAACAAAGTAAAGATATATAAGAACTAAATAACAATCAATAAGGTAGATGTTTGAATACATACCGAATACTATATCCTAATAATAGAGATATACAATCTTAAATATACATACATTCACATGTATATTTAAAAGTTTTGAACATATATTAGGGCACAAAGAAAATACCAGCAGGAACTATAAGGCTAAATTATTACAAACAATACCGGTGATCGCAGTGCAATAAAAATAGAAATTAAAAATGAAACCAAAAAGGCCCTTCTACTTGTAAATTAAAGATATTCTGTTAAACTTAGCTCTTGGACAAAACAGGAAATACAAACAAAAATTACATAATTTCTGAAAAATAATGGTAATAAATATATCTACGAGATACATTCTAAGCAGTAATCAGAAAAAAATCATAGCCTAAATACCTGTATAAATAAGAACTAAATTCTTAACTTGAAAGAACCAGAACAACAAAGTAAAATACAAAAAAGTCCAAAGAAGAAAATATTAGAACAGAAATTGAGATAGAAAATAGAAAAACAGTACATCAAATTAATGAGAAAAGTCCTGAAAAAAACCAAAACAATAAAACAAATGACTTGCTAGTTTAATTTTTTGAAAAAAGGGAGAAAGTGCAGATAGAATAAAAAATAACAAGGGAGAAATAACTATTGATATAGGGAATTTTTTTAAAAGATTACTTCAGTGGAAATACATTTGAAAACTAAAAGGAAATGGATAATTTCTTAAAAATATACAGTTTAGCAAACTGACCCCTTTAAGCCAAAAAACTTAAAAGAAATCAATTTAAATATAAGAAATAATGTTATCAAGAAATTAATTCCCAAAAACCACCAAACTCAGATGGTTTCACAGGAGAGTTAATCAATTTGACTACCAAAAAATAAATAAAAACTTTGCATGGCAAAGTAACACCATAAACAAAGGCACAATCACAAAAAATAGAAAAATAGTCCTTGAAGATGTTTAACTTCATTCATAATATGCAAATTAAAGCAATAATGAGATATTACTTCCCACCTATCAGATTGGCAGAACTTCAAAAGCTTTACAGTATGTCACTGTTAGTGAAGTTGTGGGAAAACAGTCTCACGCATTGCTGGTAGAATCTGAAATGCCACAACCTTTATGGAAAGGCAATATCCAACAAACTACACATGCATATATACTTTGACTTAGTATTCAAGGACTGTAGTCTGAAGAAATACCTTAAACATAAATACATATGTAAGACGATTCATTGTAGCATTTTGTATTTTGGTAAAATATTAAAAACTACTTAAATGCCCATAGATAGCAGATTGATCAGAAAAAACTATGGCACCTACATGCCATGGAATACAACAAAAGAGAAAGTGAGACAGAGAGAGAGCTCTGAATTTACATGCAGTGATTTATGGAAACAGTAAGTAAAAAATGGAATATGTATAAGGGCATGTGAAACAGCTAATAAGCACACACAAAAAAGTTAAACATCATTGTTATTAGGAAAATGCAAACTAAAACTACAATGAGACACTACTTCACATTTACAAGAATGTCTATAATTTTTAAAAGCCATTAACAAATAGGATGTGGAGAAACAGGAAACCCTAATATATTGTTGATGGGGATGTAAAATGATACAGCCATTTAGAAAACAGTTTGGCCATTTCTTAAATAAATATAAATTTACCACACAACCCAGCAACTCCACTCCTAGGTATCTACCCCAAAATGAAAAGCCACTTTCAGAGACTTGCACGTTTATGTTCATAGCAGCATTATGCATCACTGCAAAAAAGAAAAAGGAAGTAGTCCAAAGGTCCATCAACACGTAAATGGATAAAATATGGTATATAATAAAATACTATTCAGCAATAATAATAATGACGGAAATGCCTATATATGCTATGACACGGATGAACCTCAAAAACAACATGTTATGCAAAACAAGCCAGATTCAAAAGATATTAGATGCTTCTGTTTATATGAAATGTCCAGATAAGAAAAATCTATAGGGACTGAAAGTAGATAGTGGTTCCCTGGAGCTGGAAGAGGAAACAAGGATTAACTGTAACTGAGTATATTTTATGGTAATGATGCAAATATTTAGTAAGACCGTGGTCAAGTTATACAACTCTGTAAATTTATCAAATGTCACTGAATAGCACAGACTTAAAATGAGTAAATTTTATGGCATTAAATTATACCTCAATAATGTTTAAAGGAACATATATGTGAATTTCATGGTATGCAAATTATGCATCAACAAAACTGTTTTAACAAAGAATGTGTATGTAAGGTGACCTGCCATCTCAGTTTGCCTGATTGTCCCAGTTTTAGCACTAAAAATTCTGTGTCCCAAGAAACCTCTCAGTACCAGGCAAACTAAGATGGCTGGTCTCCCTTCAGGTAGGCTACCTTTTGTATAAGAAAGAATGGAAAGAAAACATACATTTACTGTTTTCCTCCATAAAGAAGAAGCCTCAAAAACCAAAACCAGTGAAGTTGGATACCTACAACAGATGGGAATGGGGCAGAACAGATATGAGAGATATGAGAGAAAGTTATATGTTTTGGTAAGGTTCTAACTTCCAGAAGCGTGTTATAGCTCCATAAATTTTTAAAATAAAATTAGATCAACAAGAATGGGAGGAGTTTGGGAGAAAGAGTTTAAACCTGAAGGCAAATTGAGAAAATGAACTCAATTGTCTTTCAAATAACATAATCACAGTGAAGGAGAAAAAAATAATACAAATAATTTATAAATGCACAATGTAGCCATTATCCTTAATCTTGAGCAAGATATAGGTAGATAACTGCAAATAAATCTTGTTTTTACAGTGATATAGGCAAAAGCAATTCTAAAATTATTTCAGATACATTATAGAATAGAGTGAACAAATTGATTGATTTTTGGGGGAATCCAGGACTTTTGAGGAAGGAGTGACATAGAAATATGGAATAGCGAAGGTAAGAAAGAATCCTGTGATAATAGACTGAAATTGGAGGCACTGGTATAAACTCATTTCTGAAATCAAACATAACATGTATATAAACACATCTAAATGCTACCTGACATGCATATCTTGAGTGTTAATGTAGAGTCATGCCTTGATATCTATGGGGGATTGGTTCTAGGACCCCGGAGGATACCAAAACCTGAGGATGCTCAAATCTGAGGATGCTCATGGCCCTTAAACAAAATGGCACAGTATGTGAATATAACCTATACACATTCTCCCATATACTTTAAATCACCTCTAGATTACTTATACCTGATACAATGTAAATGATATGTAACAGCTGTTATACCATATTTTTAAAATTATCATTGTATTATCTTTTATTGTGTTGAATATTTTCGATCCCCAGTTGGTTGAATCCAGGGATGTGGAATCCACATATGCACAACCCATGGATACAGAGGGCCAACTGTACATACTTGACTTTTCTAGTTCTGTCTGCTGAATAGCCTAGAAACAGACATCCAGTAGCAATGAGTATACCCAGCATCCAGATCTAGGTATCTAATATTCCCTAGGGTTCTATGGAGAAATTGCTGACTCTAAATCCTGGAATATCTTTTATATAACCTATGAAGTGCTTCAAACAAACGACAGAGGATATCACAAGGACATGGGAGCCAGCTCAATAGTTTCTACTGACCAAATCTAAGGCAACTTGAGCATCAAAGTAAGTATGGTAAAATTAATTTTAAAAAAAACATTAAAAAGCATGAGTTTATAACAATAACAGATGTAAAAATGAGATGGATATAGATGGATGAATGAATGGATGGATCAGGGGAGAAAGGAGGGCTCCTGCTTACAATAAAATATTAATTGCCAACTGGTACATGTGGAAAGAATGCTGAAGTTGAAGACTGAATAATCAAGAATCATCAATGCATGCTAAATCCTGGATGAAAATGTTGTTAGCATGGACTTAAGAGAGTCTCCCACAGGTTGCTTATTAATCGCAATGTAAAACACAGTAACTATACATTGGAGAAACTGAACACTACCTTGATCAGGTGATCAAAATTAGCATCACCAATAAGACAGACATTGTGTGCCCCCAATATCATACCATGATGACATAGTACCATCAACAGAGTGTTCTCGCCAAGAATGCATACCTTAAATCCGATTCAATGCTATAAACGACCAAGGTGGCCATGGAAATGATCCACAGTAAAGGAGACTTAAGGAAGGACAAATGAAAAAGCAAACAATAAAATGAAGAGGGTAAAATCTGAATAATAGTTGAATTTTAAAGGACATACAGATGTTCTTTGCACTATTCTTATGCTTGCAAATTTTCTGTAAATTTGAAATTATTTCCATATAAAACGTTTAAATCAATTAAGACAGCTCAATAACAAGTTCTCAACCTGTTTTGCCTGATTAGGCTTTTAAAAGTCATTTTAAAAAAACTGACTCTACATTTTTTACAAGTGTGGAAAGACAGTATTTTAAACATCTAAAACAGCAATAATCTCCATGATCCTTTAAAATGAGTACAGTTAGATTTATGAAAAAACAATCACATTGCTCTAATTTCTCTCATTTTCCTGTGGACCAGGGAGAGGTTTCTCAAATTGGTGTTTGGGAACTAATATCCCAAACAAGACGTATTTTCAGTAATAGAGGGAGTACAGTTCAGTGGAAAGAACATGGAATCTGGACACAAATTTAAACTGAGGCCCTAGCAGTTACCAGCTGTGTACCCTAAGCTCTGTCAGTTTCCTCAATTGTAAGATAGCTAAATCATAGGACTGTTAAGAGAATTATGTAAACGTAACTAGTGCTTGACACAGAGAAGGTGCTCAACAAATTTGTTTTCCTCCTCTTCCTTTCCTCTGAAGCCACTTTTCTGTTCTCTGGAAATGAATCTAACTGGGGCCACTCTGGCCTTCTTTTAACACAAACTCAGCCCTGTTGGAAGGATCACATAAGAAACTAAAGTACTCTAAGAATAAGCCTCCTTTGTGGAGGAATATTTCATGAAAACAGAAGCCAGAGATAATGGATAGTAGAATAATATGGAAGGCTTATAAAAACAGGTGATTTGAGGCATGTCTGGTAACTTGAGTTCTTTTAAAGGAGGGTAAAGACAGCAGAAGGAGTGATGATGTTAGATAATGTTAGAAATGATGTTTAAAAAGTCTGCTGCAAATAAAACAGTGTCTTTTTTCTTCATATATCCACAAGTCTATTCGGCAAATGATCACCCATCTACCTCCAAGAGTGAATGATAGTTTATGCCAAAAATAAATAAAGATCAGCATTCTATTTGTCTTACTGGCTACATATCTTTGAAGAAAAAAAAAAATCAGGTCAGTAAAATGTTCATTAATTAAGAGATTTCATCCAATTTTCATCTAATTGCCTATTTTTTTTTGCTCCTTTCAACATATTTTCATTTACATTTAACAGGATGTTCTACTTTTATGGTGCCAATGATAATTCTTTAAAAATCTGTTTTTTAAAATGGAGAAAAAATAAAATAACTTGAGTTGCATAACAGCAAAAAAATATACTGTCAACAGAAACTTAGTTTAACGTCTAAAATCTTTATAAAAGATAAGCAAATTCTGATTTTTTCCCTTTATTTTATAATTGAAAAATGAAACCACTTAACATGAACACTTGATACATAATTTCCTTAAAACTTCTCTATGGTGAAATAAAACTGTACCTAGTTGAAGAGTGTATATAATATTAACACTCATGACAATTTCAATCCAACCGTTGATATAGCTTCAAATTACTATTAATTGTGGCTATTTTTTGGGAAAAAATTGTGCAAAGCTTATGAGGGCCCAGTATACGAAAGGCTTAATTTTTAAGAGTCAAATCTACATTTGTCACAAGAGTTCAAAAAGTGGCATTATAGTGCAAAAACACTAGAAAATGCTATCTCTTACTCATAAGTCGTTTAAAACAGGTTGGAAATCATATAAAAATACTCAGTACCTTATAAGTAATTAACAAAAATATTTCCATTGACTACTCTGTGTCCAAAGTGATTAAGGACAAAAATAGAAATTCTTGCTTTATTATTTGATAAACTGCTGATAAGCTCCCATTAGAAGTTTTTTAGACATTACACCAAGTTGTCTTGGTCTTCTGTTCATATATATATATATATATATATATATACACACATATATATATGCATTTTTTCAAGTAAAGAAATGTTTAACAGATGTAAACTATTTATTGAATATTTGCCACCAAATATTGTTAAATACATTATCTTGCAGCATATCGCTTTCAAGTTAAAATGTCAGAAACAAACACCAATATTTACAATTCTTTTAAGGAATGTTATATAATGACACATTAAGGCGTAAATTCTTTTGGCTTATAATTCTTAAAAGAATGATAATAGCAAAAGTGATGCAAAATCTTCAGTGTGAGATTATGATTAAGCTACATTTTACAAAAATATGGTGTAAGATGGCAATAATCCCATTCAACATCCTGGATTAGATCCCTTCAGGAGGGACTGATAATTTATACAGTCAAACTTTAAAATTTACAGATAAAGGCAGTTCAATACTGCCACTGAGAAGTACATCTCTTAACATATACAACTTTCAGGCCACAGTTTTGAAGGTCTGAAGTATTAAGTTGGTTTGATGAATTAGTCGGTTGGCACTTACGAACACATTTATTGCCCTGTTTAAAAAGAAAAGAATAAGCATTAATTTCATCCAAAAAATTCACCCTTTTAAGATTTATACTATTAACAGTAGCAATGGAATCAATTTTAGAAAAAAAAAAAAGACAAGTTAGTATTATTAAAACTTTTATTCCAATTTAGGATATAATAGTCTTGCATCATTTTAAACTATCTAGTAATTACTGCCCCCTGGTGGTTCTGACTGGTAATAAAATGTTGGAGGACTGCTAATGATAGTGCCTCAACAACCCAGTTCATTTATAGGTGGAACAAGTTAACTGGCCAAAAGGAGGATTCAGATGTGGTCTCCAGCTGTGGTTTCATAGAAGTTAACAAGTAAAATCCAGCAAAGTATCATAATCTCAAAATTTGTAATTAATGGGCATAATACTCAAGAAAAATCTAATTACTTCCAATCTGATTCATCCCAATCTCTTTATCTCCTTAAAAAAAGGTAGAAATTCTAAGCTACAAACTACTACAAACTACTTTTACTATAAACATACTTTTAAAACAAAATAATCATGCAGTTTCAAAATCTGGGAGCTGACAACATATAAAAATATATTCTTTAAAACTGGCTTTGAGCCCCACCACATTCTCCTAATGGCTCATCTTCATGCAGCTGGGATTCAGAGATGATGCCCTAGTCCCACTGTGTGGCCTCAACAGTTTCCTAGTATCATATCTAGCATGCACCCGCATCCTAGACATTTCTCAAAAGAGAAGGCCCAGGGACTGGACCTGGTGGCTCGCACCTGTAATCCCAGCACTTTGGGAGGCCAAGGTGGGCGGATCATGAGGTCTCTTGGAGTGTGAGACCAGCCTGGCCAACATGGTGAAACCTTGTCTCTACTAAAAATACAAAAATTAGCCGGGCATGGTGGCATGTGTCTATAATCCCAGCTCGGGAGGCTGAGGCAGGAGAATTGCTTGAACCCAGGAGCTGGAGGTCGCAGTGAGCCCAGATCCAGCCTGGGCAACATAGCAAGACTCTGTCTCCAAAAAAAAAAAAAAAAAAAAAAAAGAGAAGGGCCAGGAAGAAATAGCTGAATCAATGCAAATCCATCCCCCTACTGAAAGATGGCCTAAAGATCAGGTTCTATCAATAATTTTCTGTTTTGAGGAAACAGGTATAAAACTCAAGCACATTATTGATACACAAAGAACTGGAATTTTAAAAAGCTGCTGAATGGAGAGAAAGTAGTAGCAACGACACTGAATCCATATGCAGAGTAAATAATTTCAATTAATTAATGAAAATTAGTCTCTAAATTAATGTCTACCTTTCATTGTGCTTATTCCATAATAGTAATTTAAAATCAGAAATAATAATCCCATCATGTAAATTATTATTTTAATGTGTTTTTGGTTATTTGAGCTTAGCATAAATCAAATAAAAGTTTATTTTCAAAACACAAATGCCAGCTTATTAAACTAAGTCATCAAGGAGCATTTCCCTTAGACAAACCTGTGTATGGAACACCACCACAAAACAAGTAATAAAATTTAGCTCGATATCTCTAATTCATAATATAAATGTAAATACTTCAACCTGTTTGAACTGTTAAAAATGACTCTGAAAATTAACATAATTCTATCTAATGTATTTTTATCATTTTTAAATATTACTACAATAATACTGTAATGATGTGACATGAATATAGAGATCTTAAAACCTGAATAGCAGGATGGAATGATTGAGGTCTCTATTTACTTTTCTGACTTTAAGCACTGTTAAAAAATAATCTTGTTCAAAAAATTCTCACATTTGACTTGAAGTGCAAATAACTACCTATACGGCCAGACTTTCCATCAGTTTATACATTATACGTATGCATGTATGTATGTTAAAATATATAAAATCTCTTGGTTTTCTATAGTGCATCACAACCAATTATATATAAATTAAAAAATAATGTCCAATTTACATTTTAGTATATTTCCTATTTTATAGAATGATGCTGTGAAAGCCTCTTTCCAGGAGAGTGGGTCAAAACCCTTACAGCACTTTAAAAACATCTGGGGCACTTTTACAAAATATCTAAACCCTGACTCCACTCCCAGCCAACTGAATCAGAATCTCTGCAGGTGGGGCCTAGGCAGTGGGAATTTTTTAAAAACTGTCCTCAAGTGACTCTAATGCACAGAAAGGATTGACAACTATTGCTTTAACTTTAGTGCAGTAGTTCTCAATAGACCTGTAATGTATCACCTGAAAATTTCTAAGAAATGCAAATTCTTAGGCTCCATCCTAGACCTACGAAATCAGAAATTCTAGAAGTGGGACCCTCGAGCAATTTGCAATTTGACTGTAACAAGTCCTCCAGATGACTCTGATGCCACTAAAGTTTGAGAACCACTGTTTCAGGAGTGTATAAAGTAGGCCAATGAACTAAAATTGCTTTTACATTTTTAAATGGTTAAAAAACAAAAGAAGAATATTATATGACAGGTAAAAATTATTTCAAGATACTGAAATTTGAATTTTGTATAAAGTTTTATTAAAACACAGTCACACCCCCTTGTTTGTACATTGTCTATGGCTTGTTTCTGTACTACAACAGCAGAGATGGGTGGATAACGGCAACAGGCCCACCAAATCTAACATATTTACTACCTGGCTCTTTTCAGAAAGCGTCTGATAACTCCTGTTCTAGAAAGGAGTTATGGCTAGATTAGCAACCATTCATTTTCTATTGTTAATGGTCTGCCTTCATTATCAGTTGCCTGGAGTACTAATAATAAAATAAAAGGGCTTAATTTATGTGGTTTTCATATCATATAAAACCACATAATCTATTTAATTTTAAAAGTAAAGGATAAATTACAGTACTTACTTGCCATCTTTAAAATACGTTTTCAGAGTATCACTGAAACTTTTGGAGTACTTTACAAATTCTTTCTTTTGGTGTTCAAGTGCCTACAGTCACAAAATATAATAAGAAATAAAGTACTAAATAAGAGAAATAATCACAAAAGCCAAAGGCAAGGACAAGAGATTACACAGGATATGGGATGCACTTTATATGAATATTACTAATAAGCAATTGTGGAGTACTCACTTTTAAATAAAAAGGCATATTTAAATTCAAGAATAAACTCAATGGTTAATGACACAAAACTATTTCCAACAATCAATCTTATTTTTAAGTCAATAAAACAACTAGGCATAAACCAACATCTAGGGTGTCAACTAGCAAGGCTTCTACTAAACGTACCCTGCGGTTCTGGTATTGATATTTCTTGAAGACATTATTCACTGTATCAAGAAGTTCTTTTATTGCACTAGCTATATCCCTGTTGGGAAAAGAATAAAGAATATCAGCTACATTTGAAAGAAATTTGTGAGAGAAAAGAACATCAGCTACATTTGAAAGAAATTAAGTACACTCTTAATCTAATCACAGTACACTCTTAATTATGTTAAGCGCAATCACTTCAAGAACAGCCAGCCTTTTCGGCTAGCTGGTTGGAGTGGGGATTTTAGCCTATACCCCTCTGTAATCCTGATTCTCTTGCACTGCTGACCAAAGGTTGCCAACCAAGACCAACTTTCTCAAATCAATCACATTTCATTAAGCGTTCCTTACTCAAATTTATAAAAAGATAAACATTACCTATGCCTGTCTTTTCCCATTTTAAAATTTTTCTTTGCTCTGGCTAATGTAGCTAAATTCAAGCTACCATGTTCTCTACTTTTGTTATTTGAACAAGGAACAATTTTATAATATTCTGCATTACATATAACTCAATTCTGTATTTAACAATGCTGTATGCTAGATACCTATTAGTTTTGATGTTTAACATAAAATATTTCCTCCTCAGAAAATATTCCTCTCCCCTGAGGAAATATTCTTCCTCCCTTACTCTTTTACAGACACTTTTAGCTTCTATCTAGCAGCCAAATATCCTCCTCTTTCAAACACTTACTATCAGTCACTATTCCCTTTGGAAAATATTTAAATTACTAGAGGAGACAACATCACAATATTCTTGCACTTTAACCTTCCCAGCAATCATCCTTTGACTATATATGCATCATCACCTCCCTCCCCTTTCTAAAGAAAAAAAAGAAGAAATGAATAATTCTCATTTGAGTTGACTGTTCTTCCTATCCATGCACCATTTTTTCTGAACTTTTTTTTGCCTTTCTAACTAGCCCCTTTTGATTTCCACATTTTAACCTCATAGCAATTTTTTTCCGCCAAATTGAACTTGATGTAATTCTGCATTCTCAAATAGTCTCACATTCTCTGCGACAAACCTTCTTTTTCACAGTCATTCTCTTAGCTGTTAGTCACAACAAAAACTTCAAATGCAATGCAACTGTGAAGAAATGAATAAGATGGAAATCTGCACCATCCTAAACATAACATTTTATTACTAATACTAATTACAAATGCCAGATTTCAGTTATTTCCTATCTAAAACATTTCAACATTCCTATTTCAAGGGGAAAAAAACCTCAGTGTCCAGGTTTCTGTGTGCATGTGGGTGTTTCCCAGCATATTTTTCAGTAAATAAGCTTGTAGAAATTTTAAGAATTAAAAGCATACAGAATTTTGATATTTTTTAAAAAAGTATTTTAGAGTACTCTGAAGTAGTAATTCCATTTTCATTGATTATTTCAATAATATTTTACTTATTACCTCTCTCAGGTCAAACACTGGTATTGGGCTGAAACATTGAAACATTACATATTCAAGTAGGACAGTAAGTCTTACATAAATGTTATCTAATTTTTTTTTGCCTCTGGTTTAGTAACAGCAGTTTTTAATTAGATAACTATTCCTTTCATTTATGGCTTAAGTTGAATCTTTGTATATTGGTGTGATGGACATAAACCCACTATTGTTTAATAAAATGCTGTCATAGGACTATTCTGTGAGAAAAATTACAATTTCAACAAATAAAACATGTCAAATCTCTAAATATGCAAGCTTCTCCAAATCCACAATGGAGTTATTTAAAATGGAATATAATGGAGCAAATTACATAGTGATCAGACAGAAGTTTATATAGTCTTACTTTGTAGTGTATTTCAATATTCTGCTAAAGAGGAATAAAATGTGTTTCCGGGGCTAGTCATCAAAATGAGCGTATGTTTCATATACAATAACAGTGGCTAGATTCTACAAGTCAAAAGAGTGGGTCTGAAACATGTTGCCTCATGCACCTAGGGAGACAAAAACACAGGGGAGAAGAAGGGAGGGTTTTGCTGGACAAAAAAAGAAAGACCTGCTGATAAATACTGGAAATCTCTATTTTAAAAGGGGGTGGGGGGAGGCGCAACTCCTCAGGTGACTGCTGATGAGTCAGGTTTGAAAACTTGGAGCTAAGGTTTAATGCCTTATTGGAACAGAGCTCTCTGTCAACCAAGGCCATTTATTCCTAAGCCTCTGTTTGGACACGAGGCAAAAGACTGTTAAATGCCTACCAAATTGTAGAAAAAATGTTCTCTAGAAACAATCTGCAGCAATGTATGTCAAATATTATGTTATCCATATGTACACAGAAAAGTATTTTCATTTATGGCACCAAGGTGTGCACATAGAGAAGCTAAATTATATTAGTAACTACCAGAGAGTTTGTTTCCTACGAGAGAAAATACCAGGACAAAAAAACCACTATAGACAATTAACCAGATAAAGAACTGAGAAAAAACTTGAGGGTAAAATAAATATCGCATAACTAATGAATGCGGCTTGGTGCAGATGAATTCTGTGATAAGAGGCAGATAGTATGAGTAGAAGGAGAAGGAACTTAGCAATTTGCACCAACCTAATAGCGCAGCTTTGCGAAACATTACACTGAAAGGCAAAGGCTTCAGATGAAACGTAAACATACATCTTATCAAAAAACTGCAATAGAAAAGTAGAGTTTCTAATCATGCCACCCAAATTTGCATGATACGCATTTATGCAAATGCACTAATGAAAGGGAATCCCTGTGCTTTATGTTGAGTTTGGTTTAGACTGGAAAACTCTGAAAAAATCTATTCTGAACCCTTCATGAAAACTCCTAACTTAAAACAAATAAACCTTGCTGAATTTTAGCCTAAGAATATGCAAATGCAGATTACAAACAGTAAATAAATGCCTGGCTTTTTTATTTTGGTCTGTTAAATCACGAGTCTCCACTAGTTTTCCATTAGTTGAGATGTATTGGACTTCAAAAAAAATACAAATTAATTTTATAACATATTTGCATAGCTCAAATGTACTCAGGCACACACATTCATTGATCAAAAGGCCTTTTGAAATATTTGCTGGATCATTTTTCCTTATCAACTCCATTGAGAAAAGGGAGGAAAATCCTCATTTCACAATGTTATTATAGCATGTACTGTTGAATGTATGCTAGGTTCTGTGCTAGGCACTTCATGTACATCATTTCTTTCAATTCTCACAAGTCATTACCCTCATTTTCAGAGGCACAAACTAAAATGACAGAAGTTAAGCAACTTATATCCAAGGTTACATAGCTAAATGTTGGAACACAGATTCAAATCTAGGTCTGCTAATATATTCAAAATTGCCTGAATATTTATTAGCTGTCAGGATTCTTTTTTACTTGTACTTTGATACAATCTATAGCATCACCTATAGTACTTGGTGTAATATGTATATGACATATGCTTATTGAAAAATGTTGCTAAAATGAATAAAGGGGATAACTACCTTAGATATAAGAAAGTAAAATATTGGAGAAACGCCTGAAGAAGAAATCATTTTCTATTTTAGTGCAATTTTATCCACTAATTTGTCAATTAATAATGGTAAGAACATACATGAAAATGTACCAATATATGACAGTGATACAAATAATTATACTTTAGCCTATCTATGCTATTCATATGTGGTTGAATTTTAGTCTCAGAAATAACATACATATCAACAAACTTGCCAGGGCAAATTATCCCTCCTCAAATGGTTAGGAAGTAAATTTTCATTGCCACCATTACTCTTAATTCAATTGTGCTAAATTAGTACACTCTAGAAAACAGAACTGAAGTATTATTACTCCCTCATAAAGAAAACAACACCCTAAAGAAAGCCTCTGTCAATGACTATAGACAAGACTCTTAAGCTCAATTTCCTTATGACTAAAATGTGCTGCTAATAATGTGGTTTTCAAACCGCAGCTCCCTAGAGTCACAGACGGTTTAGCAGAGATGTCTCAGGGACTCTGTAGGGGGAAAGAGGATGTCAAAGTGACAGGATGAGAGCTCTGGGCCTACATTTCTATGCCAGTTTCAACCACAATACTGTTATCTCTCTCACGTACTGGCATTCTATGTTAAAATATCCTTTTTCACATTTCTTTCAAATGGCAGAAACTCTATTTTTCAATCTCCAGATTACATCAACATTGGAAGTCTGTGATTGGGAAACAGCAGTGAACACCTGGCATTAGATTGCCTGGGTTCAAATCCAGCTCTACCACTTAATAGGTAAGTTCTGTGGCCTTACCTAATTTTCTGTGCCTGCTTCAATTTCCTCACTTGTTACTGGGTTGTTGTGATAAGTAAATAAATGTAAAGTGATTAAAATAGTGCTTAGCATATAATAAGTCCTATATAAATGATTGTTATTAAGATGACATTGATTATATAAACCTACTTCGATGATCTGAAGCAAAATCTGCTGCAAATATTATTTTAAATGTCAAATCTTCATAGAAATGTGTCATGGCTCATCAACAAGTACACGATTATCAAAGCAAATGAAAACTTACCAAATTATTTCAAAACTTTAGAAATAAATAGTCTAAACAACTAAGTTTGGGATCACTGACAATTTATCCTTTTACAGGCCAAACATGTTTACTTTAACTATACAGGGCGAGTATCCCTTAAACAAAATGCTTGAGACCAGAAGTCTTTAGACCTGGGGATGAGGCCCAAGTATAAACATGAAATTCATTTATGTTTCATAAAGTGCATCCATATATGCATACATTTTGTGCATACAACAAAGTTTTGATTGTGTTTTGACTACAACCCATCCATCACATGAGGTCAGACGTGGAATTTTCCACTTATGGTGTCATGTCACGGTGCTCAAAAAGTTTTGGATTTTGGAGCATTTAGAATTTGATATTCAAATTAGGGATGCTCAACTTGTACCAGATTAAAAATAAAACTCCATGAACAGTTGATTATCTTCCTCCTTCACATATTAAAAGTAGAAAAGGAAGCTGGGGCTTTCCCATAGGAAAGGTAAAATACAAAACCCTTAGGCCAGGCGTGTTGGCTCACACCTGTAATCCCAGCACTTTGGGAGGCCAAGGCAGGCGGATCACAAGGTCAAGAGATCGAGACCATCCTGGCTAACACAGTGAAACCCCATCTCTACTAAAAATACAAAAAATTAGCCAGGCATGGTGGCGGGCGCCTGTAGTCCCAGCTACGCTGGAGGCTGAGGAAGGAGAGTGGCATGAACCCGGGAGGCAGAGTTTGCAGTGAGCCGAGATGGCGCCACTGCACTCCAGCCTGGGCGACAGAGCAAGACTCCGTCTCAAAAACAAAACAAACAAACAAAACAAACAAAAAAACCCTTAGTGTTTGTCCCTTGTGACACAGATTTTGGCTATTCAATTAAAAGCCTTTTTTATATTCCTGGCCCTTAATTATTGTCAAAGAGTAGGGTCATTCCTTGATAGCTGGGTTGCATACCTATCACGAACCATTATTTTCTATGGGACATATTCCTCTCTTTATGTGACTCAAAAGAGAGTATCCAAACTAGCTAGGTATCCAAACAAGCTAAAATAGCATTTCTCAATGTGAATGACAAAGAATACTATTTTCAAAAGATGAATGTTTTCTTTTTCTTTCATAATTGAGATTTCATCAGTTGTGTTGAGGATCAGTACACAGACATTTCAACTTGTACATAATTCTGAACATATGTACTGCAAAATCTAAAAAGCCACGTATCATTATTATTCTCTAAAGTTATTCCAGTGACTTTCCAGCTTACAACTGAGGCAAAATTACCTTAAAAGGCTATCAAGTACCAGTACCTTCAAATGTTGATAAGCTGTCACATACGTCCCACCAATTCACAATTTAATAGCATATACACTATATACTTTAATCTTTCACAGCACATTAACAAAGTTATTAGAAAAACAGGACTACCATGACCAAAGATGTTACAGAGTGCACACAATTCTGATAGGTAGAGCCAGGCTCAAGGAGTGGTTTGCCCAAGGAAACAATTCCACTAAAAAACAACATGAAGAGTAGAAGTAATTTAAGGCCAGGTGTGGTGGCTCACTCCTGTAATCCCAACACTTTGGGAGGCCAAGGCAGGAGGATCACTTGAGCTCAGAGGTTAGAGACCAGCTTGGGCAATGTAGGGAGATGTGGTTATCTACTAAAAATTAAAAAAAAAAAAAAGAAATTAGCTTGGTGTGGTGTTGTACACCAGTAGTCCTAGCTACTCTGGAGGCTGAGGTGGAAGGACTGCTTGAGCCCAGGAGGTTGAGGGTGCAGTAAGTTATGATCATGCCACTGCAGTCCAGCCTGGGTGACAGAGTGAAGTAATTAAAAATGTTCAAGACATGAAATGCAGGACTGCGACTCCACTTTGCCATTTAGTATGCTTTATATTATGGGATATAAAAACTAACCACCCATCTATGGAATGTTAAGCTGACACCCATAACAGTCAAGGCTTCCCATAATTCAATATCCAACATTATTTTCCCATTGTACCAAAAAATAACCAGCAAATTAAATTATTTCACCTCTTTAAAAAAAAAAGCATTTACACTTAAAAAATGGAATGCAGTGGAATTCCCTCCTTAAATGTTTCTAGAGCTATTAAAAAACATTAGAGCTACTAAAAAACATGCATTTACAACATAGTTGATAAAAATATTCTCCTGGATTATGTAAGAAGAGAGACGGGGAACCACTGATAAGACATGGTATGCGATATTAATCAGACTGGGCTTCTTTCTCTCCTGCTTCAGAGGCTGGACTCTCTTCAGTTTTAGTTTTTCTGTTTTCTGCAGGTAAATCTTTATTCTTAGCTACTTTGGCTTGTTTTCACTTTCCTACTCTTTTCTCTTTTGTTTGCACTTTTTTGCCTGAAGATTTATCTTTTCCTGCTACCTTTTGGGGCTTCAATTTCCACTACTGAAAGAGCAGGTTTAGCTGACAACCACATCAATCTCCTTTTGGGATCTTCCCTCACTGTCCCATCAGCTGAGCTGACCGTCCTCTTGGGCATCCTGGAAGTGGGGAAGGCGCATATCAGATGCATGTGGGCCATGGCATGCTGAGGGCCTTCACAAAGCTGGGCTGCCTGGCTGCTGCCACTCCTCCCACTGCCCAAACTCCAAAAGATGAATGTTACTATTTATTCCAAGTGAGTCTCCTTAGGTTCTTCAAAGTTACCACATATGTCACAGCCTCTTCCAGAAAAAGACCTGCGCTAAATCTTTTCTCCCCAGCAATATCTACCTATGGTTTCACCAAAACCATGCATTGATAGTGACACTGCAAGTATTCCCAGCTTTCTTTGTTTTTTATCCACTGAGGCTGAAGAAAATTATCAGACTTTCTAGTTTAAAGATACTTATGTAGGGATTATGTTTTCACTCAATCCCCTACCCTCTCACCCTTCACTGTACTCCAGAAGAGTGTCCCTGGTCTGAGAACTACTGCTCTAGGATGACCCTTCTTGCTGCTGCTCACCAGCCAGCCTTCTGGCCCCATGAGTATTCTTGGTCTTATTTAACCTATATCCCCCAAAGGCAAGGATTTAGAGGCTATTTGGTCAGTCTTAGAAAACACTACTCATGCCTAAGAGTACGTTACTTACCTTAATGACTGCTGCTATTTCTGAAATAAAAATTATTTTGGTATATCTTACTACCAATCTCTAGGATATATCCAGTTTCTCTATTCATTTATCTGACATTTATATCTTCCCATCATTTATGTAGTTCAAACTACATTCCAGTTTATGCACATTTCATTGTTGTTTTAAAATTAAACATTCTAAAAAATGCTGTACTCTGAAACCAAACGCCATAAAGTTAATAAAATGTGGTATTTAAAAATTTGAGATTTTATTTCAAATAAGCATTTCAAGTTAGTCATACCAAAATTAAAAAATGTAGATGAGTAGTTCCTCGGAAGTACTTTTAAGAAAAGAAGAAACAAAACAAATAATTGCTTACTTGATTGTCTGCAGAAACCTCACTCTGTCATTGATCTCATCTGGGATCTTACTGAGAATTTGTTTAAGTGCTCGTGCCTTTTCGTTTAGGTCTTGGAATTCTGGCTCTGGTCGTTCAATCATATACTCTGATAAAATAAATACATAATAAAAAACATCCTGCGACTCTCTGCCAAATTCATCACATCTAAGAATTTCCAATGTTGGTCAAAGGCAGGTGAGGGAGGTGAAAGGCCAGATAATTAGGAAAGACAAGGTTGCAAAGCAGAATTCATTAGCGTTTGACTTAGTCCAGTAACAACAGCAGGGCTCCCTTCAAGTAAAGTATCACAAAAAGAAAGAATAAATATTTTCAATTTGGGACAAAAGGACATCCCATGAAATCTTAAAAAAAAAAAACACACAAAAAAAAAACAGATTTAAAAGGGAGGCTTAAGTTCAACCGTACTCTGACATTACATTTCCCAAGGAAACCTTAAATTAAATAATGAGTGTCATAACTAGTGCAAAGGTAATATCTACTTGCCAACTGGAAAGATTAAAAATTTAAAACCCCTATATTTAATATACATTGCTTCATCATATTAAAACCCCAAATAATCTAATAAAATCTTCTACACATTTTTGAAATCTCACTTAAAAACAAAAACACCAGCACAAATCCAACACACAGGCTGGGATCACAGAACACCAATTTTGGAAAGGAGACTTCACTAGATTCATTGCAGACTTGGAAGCATTACAACTCTACCAATTCATCAATATATTATGGCCTAATGGGCTGCAAATGCTCAACTCTAAATAATGATAAGGGCTTTCTTAAAATCATGGAATCAGTTAAAATACCTGCTTTGTGTTCTTCCTTAATAATTCTGGGAAATTATATGTCCATATTTTTCTAAATTAGTGGGAAAACTGCTACTAAACTTAAGTAAAACCAACGTCTAAATAATTTCAAGTAAAAAAAATAAGAAAAGTAAAAAGGATGGTTATATTATTCTCTTAAATCTGTGCTTGAAACACAGATGCTGTACTAAAGTTAAAAAAACAACAAAACAAAAACCTCATTACTTTCAAACTGTTGTTTGCTTAAAGTCAACACATTCCAAATAAGCTTATCTTTTAGTAAAACTGAAACTCACCAAACATAAAGGGGGGAAAAATTGAAGTATGCAGCATAAACAAAGTTCAAGTAATTAAATCTCACAAATATAAAAAGCAAGAAAAACCATTTTTCTATTTTATCTACATTAGCTTCCACTATCACTATCACCACCACCACCATCATCATCATAAGTGAAAGGGAGGGAGGGAAAACAGTAGGGAAGGAAGATCCTTTGGTCAAATAATAATGATTTAGAGGAAGTGCTATTTAACAATTGTATAACTTAAACAAGGTTCTTCTGTCCGTTACCTTCTACATCATCAGCTGCCATACGAAGAAGGGACTCCGTGAAGTTAACTTCCACGCTTTTTTTCTCTAAAATTTTCATAATGATGTCTTGTGTGAGACCTGGATTTTCTTTTTCAGCCTATAATAAAGAGAAAACTAGTTTTGAAATACAGATAAGGAATCAACATTTTAAAGCCAAAGTTTAATTGTTTAGAATCTGTTGGGAGCGTCTTACACTGATAACTTTTAAGGGCAGAAATCTTTGTAAAGCAGGTGTCATGATAGCATTCACTAAGGCTTTGTTAGAGCTTGTGCACCCGACTCTTTACTATGACTAAGGTTCCATTTTCCATTTGAACAGAAAGAACTTAGTATTTTCTACTCTTCTTTATACTCTTTTGCAATTGAACTAATAACAAAGATAGAATTAAGGATTATATATGTTTTAGTAATCTATCAATTGCTATTCTCATTACTTTAAATATCTTGAGAATTTAAGCTTTTTTTAATGTGCTAATACTGCAACTCAAGGATCAAGCAATAACTCATCTGACTAGTGTTTTGCATATTCTTTCCATTTATATTAAGAGAATGCCAGGAAAAACAAAAAAGGATTTATTTTGAAGGTTTTACTGAACCTATATAATAATACCTTAACTATTTTCCCACACAATGATTTTCATTTCCTATTTTATTTTTGTAGCAAGAATATTTCCTTCACTGGTTTCTAGAACATCATGAAACCTTTTACTACCTTTTGAGCTTGTTTCATTGAGTTTGCATTGGTTCTATGTTACTTAGACTCCCCAAGACACTAAAATTTTCTAGCCATTTCAAGACTGGGCATAGAGTTCTGAGTTTACCAAAGCCAGAGTTAATCTTCAGATTTCAGTTTTTCCCAGTAAATTCTGTAATCACACTTGATGTTTGTTTCCTGTAGGATGCCTGCCAATTTTAATCATTATGCTGATGATTTTCTTTCCTTTTTGCCCTAATATTAAACAGCAAAATAGAAACACAATTTACGATCTTAATCAGATGGCAATCTTTTTGTTTCCTTATGTGTCAAGCACACTTAACCTCCGCCTCTTCAATTCCATTGATTATCACTGCAGATACAGTTTTCTTCTCTTCCTATTGCTCTTTCCATTATAACATCTTGTTTCTCATTAGATCTCAAGTATCAAAAACTGAAGGGTTGTGGGATGAAATGAGAAAAGAAAATACACGCATTTATTCCAATCTTCGGATCATTTTAAATGCTGTCAGATACTATTCAGGAAAATCATTTTGATAGATGATTAATAACAATAAACTGTGTTTGACTGAATCCTGTTTCTTTTACAGCCTATGTTGACTTTTCCTTCCATGGATATATATTTTAAAAAGAATCTACTTTTTAGCCAGGCATGGTGGGGTGTGGCTGTGGTCCCAGCTACTTGGTAGGTTGAGATGGGAGGACTGCTTGAGCCCAGGAGTTCGTGGCTGCAGCGAGCTATGATCATGCCACTGCACTCCAGCCTATGATACAGAATAAGACCTCGTATTAAAAACAAAACAAAACAAAAAAAACTGTGTTTTTTAAAAAAGGAGTTTCCTTTATAAGATGTCCAAATATGGCTTAAGATGTGTTGTTATAGCATTAATGCGGTGAACTGCCACAAAATTACATATAATGTAGCATTCAGTAACAATACTTTATCTTATCTAGCAATAAATCTTCCTACATAATGAATTATCTTGGGGAGAGGGGGAACATTCTCTATGTGCTTGCAGGGGACAGAAAAAGAAAAGCATATCTCTGATTAAGTTATAATAAAGTACTGAAAGGTTAAAATGCTGAAAGTCTGAGAATAAAGTTTTCAATACCAAGCTGGTCTGGGACCCCAAAATGCTAAAGCTAGAGCATTACAAAAGTCTCACAAAGGTCCCTAACTTTCTCAGTTTTCAGTGTCCTTAGTGCCAAAAGATACACCTCACAGTGCTGTTTATTAAATACTTAGGTCTAAACAACTTAATAAGTATAGTGTCCTAACTACCTAGCCTTTAAAAAAATAATACACATAAATTGAAAAAAACAATTTTTACTCTGTTCTTAAATAACTATTGTCACTTATTACTGGGATGTGTGTGCCTACTGGGCACTTCATAATTTCTCAAACATTGGTCTTAGATTGGACCTTGCCCCTCTCATTTCCTCTTGCAGATATATTTTTTTCTGGTACTTCTGTTAGATCATAGCACTGGCCAAAAAGTCCAGCTTCTCAATGATCTAACACCAATGAAAGCAGTGAAGGACAATCCAATATGCTAAATTGCAATCCATCTCAAGCTAGGAGTCCATGCAGTGTCAAACAGATGTTGAGTATCACTGTACACCTTCACAATTTTAAAATACTTCGTGGCACCCCTCTGAATTTGCTATGGGCCACCAGGTACCTCAGTACATAGTTTGGAAGGAGTAGTCTCAGTACCTCCTGGCTAAAAACCTGGTTAAGCTAATTCTTATTTCAAAAGCTTGAATTTACCAAATGGCTCTGACTGACAAAATGAATAAATATGGTCTTAAATCAGGGAGACAATCTACAACTCTTAGGTTTTCCCTCAGAATACAACATGAACCCTGTAGGGTGTCTAATCTTTGTAAAGAATCCAGCTGTAAGAAAAAAATAAACCGAAGGGCAGCAACATACACTCTTGTGGATCAGTGATTCTCAGTCTGGAAGACGGACAACCTATCGGAACCTCTCATAGAGGATAAGGGGGAGAGGGAATCAAGTAGAATATAGCTGACCCTTGAAGAACTGGTTTTAACTGCTCAGGTCCATTTACATGCAGATACTTTTCAATAAATATATAGGAAAAATTTTTGGAGATCAGCAACAATTTGAAAAAACTTATAGACAAACTGAGTAGCCTATAAGTAGTGAAAAAAATAATAAAAACACATGTTATGAATGCATAAAATATAGTTATCCACTAGTCTATTTTAGTATTTACTATAAAATAGATACAAATTATTAAAAAGTTAAAATTTATCAAAACTCACACGCAAACAGACTGTACATGGTGTTATTTGCAGTTAAAAGAAATATAAACAAATATACAGATGCAATATTAAATCATAACTGCACAAAATTAACTGTAGTACACGTGTATATGTAATAAGTTTGAAGCCACCTCCTGTTGCTATTGCAGTCAGTTCAAGTATTAGTAAGTATATGATTAAAACGCCATGTGACTCTAATCAACTCCATGTGAACAGTTCATCTCTCCAGCAAACTGCACATCCCAGTACAAAGTAATACCTCCCAGCCCTCACATATTTTTCTCATCGTGTTTAGTGCAATACTTTAAACATGGGATAATACCATGGGACCCGACAAAGTGCCACTAGTGATGTTGGAAGTGTGCTCAAGAAGCAAAGTCATGACATTACAAGAAGGTGTATTGCATGATACTGAATTGCTTGAATACAGTCTAAGACTCACTGTAAGAAAAAAAAAAAAGGAAATTCATGAAACAAAGCCATTGCTGCAGCTACATCAGCAGGTACAAAAACCTTGCATGTTTTGTGAAATACCTTTTTGTCTCCTGTTGAAAATGCAGCTTTTATGTTGGTGCAGGATATCTATAAGAAAGGCATACCTATAGACCCTAATATGATTCAAGAAAAAGCAAAGTCATTCTATGACAACTTAAAGCAAAAGGAAAGTCTAAAGCTGAAGAATTTAATGCCAGCCAAGGATAGTTTGATAATTTTAGAAAGAGGTTTTGCTTAAAAAATGTCAAGATAACAGGAGACCCAGATTCTGATGACCAAGAGGCAGCAAATAAGTCCCCACACACCATTAAGAAAATCTTTGAGGAAAAAAATATCTGCCTGAAAAGGTTTTTAATACAGATCAAAGTGCCCTATTCTGAAGGAAAAAATAGCCACAAAGAATATTTATTAGTAAAGCAGAGAAGTGAGCACCAGAATTTAAGGCAGGAAGAGATAGGACAACTCTACTGTTCTGTGCAAATGAAGTCTGGTTTATGATCAGGACTGTCCTTATTTATAATGCTGCTAAACCCTCAAGCCTTGAAGGGAGAAGAAAAACACCAGCTTCCAGTCTTGTGGTTGTACAAGAAGACCTAGACAAAGAGAACCCTTGTTCTAGCCTGGTACCATCAATGCGTTGTTTCTGCGGTTAGAAAGCATCTTGGCAGGAAGGGATGGTCTTCTGAAGTTCTTCTGATTGTCTATATATATCTATAGAGATACCTATATATCTCTATATAGCTAGATCTACAGATATCAGATATATATTGAGATATCAGATATATATATAGATATCAGAGATATCTACATATACATACACACACATATATATGTATTGTATATTTAATTAGAGACAAGGTCTTCCTATGTTGCCTAGGCTGGTCTTGAACTTCTGGCCTCTGGCCTCACACTTCAGCCTCCCAAAGTGCTAGGATTACAAGGCATGGGCCTCCGCACCTAGCCTTTATTATTATTGTTGTTCAAAAAAATTCTTCTGATACTGGATAATGTCCCTTGCTTCCCAGAACCCCATGAGTTCAACACTGAAAGGCATCAAAGTGGCCTACTTGTCCCAAAACACCACACCTCTAAATCAGCCTCTACATCAGGGGATCAAGAACCTTTAAAGCTCATTATACATGGAACCATAAGGCCTCTATGGAAATGGCTGTCAACAATCCTTGGTAGAAAGAATACCATGAAAGTCTGGAAGAATTACACCACTGATGCTACTGTTGTTATAGAAAAACCCATCGAGCCTAAAACAATAAATTTCTGCTGGAGAAAACTGTGTCCACATGTTGTGCATGACTCCACAGGATTTACAACAGAGCCACGGAAATCATGAAAGAGATTGTAGATATGGTTAAAAAAAACGTAGAGGATGAAAGGTTTCAAGATATGGATATCAGAGAAATTTAAGAGCTAATGGACAATGAGGAAGAAGACAAAGGAGTGCCAGAAAACAAATGGACATTAGACAACCCAGCAGAAGAGTTCTCTTTATTCAAGGCTGCTTTATGACATGGACCCTTCTCTGATACAAGCACTGAAACTAAAGCAAATGTTGGAAGATTGGTACTGTACAGAAACATTTTTAGAGAAATGACAAAGCAAATAAGTCAGAAATTAAACATATTTCTGTAAAGTTACACTAAGTGTGCCTGCCTCTCTTGCCTCCCCATTCACCTTCTCTACTTCTGACATCCCTGAGCTAGCAAGACCAACCCCTTCTCTTCTTCCTCCTCCTCAGCGTATTCAATGTGAAAACGACAAGGATGCAGACCTTATGATGATCCACTTCAACTTAATGAATAATAAATATATTTTCTCTTATGATTTTCTTAATAACACTTTCTTTTCTGTGACTTTAAGAATACAGTATGTAATATATAGGATACACAAAACATATGTTAATCAACTGTTTTTGCTACCAGTAAGATGTTCTGGTCAACAGTAGGCTTTTAGTAGTTAAGATTTGTGGAAGTCAAAACTTATACTCAAATCTTCAACTCTGCAGGGGGTCAGCACCTCTAACCTCCACACTGTTCAAAGGTTAACTGTATATACATTAAAATATTCAATGGTATTATCTTGGGAAAAACTATTTTAATCCTCTTTTCCCTCCAAATAACAAAAACCATGATGAAAATTATTGTCGTTGCGGACCAATAATTGGAATTATGAATATAAAAGATTTTATGACTGGTGAGGTTTCTTTCATCTTTTTCAAAAGTTGTAATTTAAAAAATACAAGCATCTTTACATTTTTAACATGTCCTCCTTCAATTTCACTTGAAATGTAACAAACTAAATGTGATAATTAAAAATACATCAGTGTAAAATTAGTTACTTTGTTTTCTTCCAAAATAAGTAATCTATGCCATAGACAACAAACTTTATCCATGGATCAAACCACATCTATCACGGTCACATAATTGTACTTAAGTGTTAGATAATTAGCTTATATGTTAGGATGTTACAAGAAAAACCCTCAGGAAATTTATTATTTTATTTTATGAATGTCATTGAAGATACTATCTACTCCTTCGGACAGGGTCTTCTTCTCTCTGTTCCTGGCATTAGAAAAGCTGAAATATTGACTTTTCTCTTAGCAATACTACTGTACAGATTACTTTTCCTTCTTCTTTTGGCCACAAAGATGCTTAAGATAGCATCATGTCTCCCTAATGACCAAATATGCCATTCCAAAGCCAAACTGACACTCAAAGAAGAAAACAACAATAAAAAAAAAGAAAATGATTATGGTGTTGCTTCATTAACCCAATGATTTGGCAGGATGCAATTTAATGAAGCTACTAAATATATATGTACTCACCTTGAATCACAGAATATTAAATCAAAAAAGCTCTATTCTAACATACGTAATGTAGATTATTAAAGTAATATGAGATACCTAGTGACATGACTTGTGCTACCAGAAAAGAGTGTTATCAATAAACTTGTGTGACATGGAAGAAATCAAGCAGAATGGGCTTATAGTTTCAACTCCAATTAAAATATAAATGTATTCCACATTTAAACATTAAAATACTTTACCTAAAACACAGGTTATTTGAGCTACTGATGGGAAGGAATGCAAAAATAAAAATTAAAGTTTTGGGCACCATAATATATATTTGGGATGGAGGACCAGATAAAAGTTTTATATTAAAGAATGCATTCAACATGTACAGTAAGTCTCTAGAGTAGGGCTGTACAACAGAAATGTAATATCAGCAACAACTATGAGCTACCTATGTAATATTAAGCGGCCACATTTAAAAAAAAGTAAAAAGACACAGGTAAAATTATTTTAATAGTACATCCAAAATATTATTTCAACATGTAATCATTATAAAATATTTATTACTAAGCTAGTTTACTTTCTTTTTCTTATATGAAGTCTTCAAAATCTGTGTGTATTTTAACTTGGAACATATCTTGATCTGACCTAGTCTTATTTTTAAATGCTCAAAAGCAACATGTGGCTAGTGATAACCCACTGAACAGCTCAAGTCTAAAGACAAGGAAAACATTTATTTTGAGTAACTTAACTGTATATCCTCAAAGTATATTTAATTCACCATATTTGAAGGTATTACTTTCCCACTGAAAAACGTTTTTTAGACTCATGTTCTATAATTAAACAATAGAAAGAATACCTTTTCAAGTTACACTTTTACAAATACTTTTAAATTTTTACTTTATTTTGAGACAGGGTCTTGCTCTGTTACCCAGGCTGGATCACAGCGGCATGATCACGTCCCACTGTAACCTCAAACTCCTGGGCTCTAGCAATCCTCCTGCCTCAGCCTCCTGAGTAGCAAGAATGACAGGCACGCACCACCATGCCTGGCTAATATTTTTATTTTCTGTAGATACAGGGTCTTGCTATACGGCCCAGGCTGGTCTTGAGCTCCAGGTCTCAAGTGATCCTCCCACCTCAGCCTCTCAAAGTGTTGGGATGACAGGTATGAGTCACCACGCCCAGCCATATAAGTTTTCAAAAGGTCAAATAATAGAAAAAAAAAAAAACCCTCAAAAATATAATCTACAGCTAAGGAGAGAACACTCTGAAAAACTCAGTTTCAAAAGCACAAAGTGATGAAAAGATGAATGCTAACGAAATAACATTTGTTCTAGTTTATCTTTTGGAAGTGTTTTAAGCTTTATGGAATATAGTAAAACAGGCATAAGATGGCTAAAAAGGCTTTCCCTTAAAGAAAATAAACTGGCAACCATCACATGTACTTACATTTACAAAGAACATACACTTTAATAATCATAGTAAATTATTTGCACCTCACCTTGATGAAAGCGGCTCTCAGTGTCTGGGCTGCAGACAGATTTACTCGTTCTAGCTGCAATAAAAATTTTAAATTATTATGAATATCAACTTTCTTGGAAAAAGCACATTTCTGAGATTCCATTCTGTAGCAATCACATGAACACATTAAACATTTAATCAACATTCTTGTTAACAATTGTACATCACCGTAATTCTTCAATTAGGCTATCAAAATTTTCAATGAAAAAATATATGTCCTTAATTTTTTATTAAAAAAATTAAAAGCAACCCATATGCTTTTAATTTTTATATCAAACATGTGAGGTTTATAATTTCAAAAGATTAACATCCTTACTACACATGTTAATTCAGTTTTCAGTGAACCAAAGGCACAGAATTTCATAATTTCATAAAAATAATTCCATTTGTAAAGAGTTAACTGCCAGGCTTAAAAAACCTAGCTTCTGTTAAATTCTGATTTTTTCAGTCCTTAAGGATTGAGCTAGTTAACTCAATAAAACTCAATTGTATATATTTTTTACTTGGGACAATATTAAATTGGAAACAATGTAATCTATATAGATTTTTACCAAGTATAATATTTCTACACAAACCTTATGAACATATATCATATTATGCAATAAAGTCTTCCCTTGAGGCAACAAAAGTGTAAGTTTTGCTTCAGAAATCTCCTGTATGGGATCTCTAACACATTAAATCAATTTATTTTCTAAACAAGACAGTTACAAATGCCAAGAACCTTGCAACTCCCTACAAATGACTAACTTTAAGCACAAAGCAAAAGCAACAGAATCTGACAAGATAATTTATCTGCCAAAAAACAATGAACCATTTAGCTTAATATTTAACATGACTTCTAACAAATCTTGTAAAATCTAATATTGCCTCAGTAGATAAAAAAGGCATAAACAGCCCAGTAAACAAATGTAGAAAGAAATAACTATATAAGTAGTTCATAATTAACAAAGATATGTTTCCAAAAAATGAAAAAAGTTTCCTACTTCCAAGTAATTAATATAATTATAGTGACTATTACTAAGATTAAAATAACAATATAGCTCATTAGATCTCAAGTTCTTGTTATTCAAGAAAGGCAGGGACAGATATAAAGAATGAATGTTTCTGTTTTGATAGGAACCCATTTCCTTACTTAGGTTTACACCACACTCTGACCTCTTTTAAAAAGGTCTGAGTCAGCTGTGTGCCTTCAAGTATCAGCGTTATTAGTTCACTCTGTATAGCCCTGAATGGTATGTGAAAGGATCCAGACAAGTAAAAGTGCCCAGAAAGTTCATGAAGAGCTAACAAGATTATCTGAGATAGGTAACAGCATCTCTAGATTTCTAGACTCATTTTAATTACGTGAACCTTACAAAAAGAATAAGTCACAGGAAGGTCAGACATATACTAAATCAAAAATCTGTGAGCTGAGAAGCACTTCACCAAAATTCTGTTGGGAGTCACTTGGAGATACACTGTAGTCATGCATCGCTTAATGATGGGGATGGATATGTTTTGAGAAAAATGTCATTAGGTGATTTCATCATTATGTGGACATCACAGAGTGTACTGACATAAACCTACAGGGATAGCCTACCACACACCTAGGCTGTATGATACAGCCTACTGTGTCTAGGCTACAAACCTGATGTTTACTGAACTACTATAGGCAACTGTAACACTATGTATTTGTGTATGTAAACATAAAAGAGGTAATGTTGCGCTACAATGAACAATGGCTTTAACATCACTTGGTGAGAGGAATTTTTCTGCTCAATTATAATCTTATGGGACAACCATCATATATGCCATCCATCTACCAATGACTGAAATGTTATGTGCCACATGACTGCATATACCCATAGGCCTTACAATAAAGTCAAAAGCCTTTCTTCCTCATATGGTATTGATATATTCATGGTGTCCAGGACAGTACCAGGCATATATCCATTGTTTGAACTGAATTTAATCTCTTATCCATAAATTTATCTAAACTGTTCTTAAATCTATTTATAATTTCAGCCTGTACTAGTTAGGTAGCAAAATATGTTATCTTCTTCTCCATTTTACAAAGGAAGAAACTCAGTTTGACTCTGAATCCTGTATACAAGCCACTAATGCTACCCTGACTCCCTGTACTCACTCTTCCAGACTGGAGTCCACTCTGTCACTGAATATCTTCAACCTGGTTCTTTAAGGACTGACATATTCTTGAGTTCCTACCATGTACTTGAGTTCCTACATGTACAACGTGAAGCAGCTATATGAAAAGTGGAGTGACTGCCATCAGTTGAAGCAGAAAGAAGTCTTTATAAACATGGGATTTGAACTGATCTTTAAAAAGTGTGTTCCGGCCTCTTAAAATCATCCTCCTGGGGAGTTCTCCCACTTAGAAGTTTCTTCAGGGTTGGTAACACATGGAATGTAATGATTTCATGTAAATTTAGGAAAGAAAATTTCCACTTTGTTTTCAGTCTCTTTAGAGTCCAGCACTTTCCGAGCTTTAGGGATAACGTCTTTGGCTAGGGTAACTTTAAAGAATAAACACAGTAAGGCTGGGCACGGTGGCTCACGTCTGTAATCCCAGCACTCTGGGAGGCCTAAGCAGGCGGATCACAAAGTCAGGAGATCGAGACCATCCTGGCTAACAAGGTGAAACCCAGTCTCTACTAAAAATACAAAAAAAAATTAGCTGGGCGTGGTGGCAGGTGCCTGTAGTCCCAGCTACTCGGGAGGCTGAGGCAGAATGGTGTGAACCTGGGAGGCAGAGCTTGCAGTGAGCCGAGATCACACCACTGCACTCCAGCCTGGGCGACAGAGCGAGACTCTCCATCTCAAAAACAAAACAAAACAAAACAAAACAAAAAAAACAGATTAAACACAATAAACTTCTTAGTAGTAACTGACAGTGCATACACTGTATTTTGGGTCCCCTGAAGGAGGAAATTGTGACTGCACCTTGCATTAATGGATACTGCGACAGTGAGAAGCACTGCTTGGGCCTCAGTTACACAGTATGTCCATGTAACCAGTAAAAGAGTAAGAGAAAATAAGAGAATCAGAGTGAGAGAAAAGGTTTGTAACATACTTCATCTCTCCTAAAAGAGAAGGAAAAGTGCCTCCTGAAGCACATTTGGAGACAATGGATAGGCTGGGTAAGCCTAACAGGAGGTCTTACCTCAACCCCCATTCTGCCTACTGTTTTGTGAACTCCTTCTGTAACTTATTGTTGATAGCCTTTAAGAACACTTACACTTACTATCAACCACAAACCAGGCAAATTTACTCTGGTCCACTTATAAAAATATTTTAAAAGCTTCCATATAATTCAGATTCCATGGAGAGGACATTTGTTGTTTTGCTCTCTCCAAAAGTATCAGTTTCTTCTACACTTTTCCAGCATCAAGTTTCCTAAAACCATAATTAAAAAAAAAAAAAAGCCATTTAGCCCTTTGGTTACTCAAGTTTTAAAAGACTCCTGCTTTCACACTTTTGTGAAAGCTGTGTGTTTTGTTGTTGTTGTTGTTTGTTTTAAAGGTCAAAATAATTAGATTAACTGGTTTTGAATTGTGTACAAATCTACTTGCTTCCTCAAAATCAGGCAAGATTTGATTTTTCCATGTTCACGCCCCTCTCCCTACCCACAGTGAACAGATTGTTGATCTTATTTCTTAAAAAGAACTAAACTGGGCCAACTTACAAGAATAAAAACTTCAAATACATCTCCTGAAATTCAAATAAAAATGAGGTGAGCCAGGTAAAAGTAAACAAGCTTGCTAGAAAGACAGAAGTAATGGAATCAAGAAGTCACTTATTAGTTTTTGAACTGTCACAGAGAAAGATTTGTCCATGTGAAGTTCAACGCATGCTTCTAAAAGAATCAGTTCTGTGGGCTGCCAAGCTGTCTGGCAAAAAAGGTAAGCAGAACCACCTATTATAAAAATATTCCATTAAAACACTGCCTCCAAGTATACAAAACTGTGAAATATATGCGAAAGATTCCTTAACAATAACTAACACTTACTATACAACTAGTACTATTTTAAACACTTTACAATACATCAACTTACTTATTTCACAGAGTTGTTGAGATAGTGAAGTACACCACTGTTTATCCCCATTTTATAAATAAGGAAACAGATAAGATTAAATAGCTTACTAAGAAGAAGAGCAATAATTCAAACCCAAAATGCTAATTATGATCACTTCCTGATGGTAGGATTGCAGATAAAATCCCTACCTGCATTGTGAAGAATGTTTACTATGCTCAAAGTTTGAGGTCTGGTTTATTTTATCTTAACATGAAAAAAAAAAACTAAGAGGGGAGGCGAAGCAAGATGGCCGAATCAAAGCCTCCATTGATGGTCCCCTCTGCAGGAATACCAATTTTACCAACTACACACAAAAAAGCACTGCCAAAGAACCAAAAATCAAGTGAGCAATCATAGTACCTGGTTTTAATTTCATATTGCTGAAAGAGGCAATAAAGAGAGTGGAAAAGACCATCTTGAAACACTGATGCCACCCCTCCCCCCATCCCGCAATAGCAGCTGTGTGGCATGGACAAAGAATATGTGCACTTGGGTGGAGAGAGCACAGCAACTGGGAGACTTTGTACTAAACTTAGTGCTGATCAATCACGGTGGAGAGCAAAAGTGTGCTGGGTTCAGCTAGCAGCCACCCACAAAAGGTAGCATTTGGACGTGACACGGTCAGAGGAGAATCACCGATCCAAGAGGTTGGAAATTGAGTAAGCCTTGCCACCAAGGGCTAAAGTGCTCTAGAGTCTCAGATAAACTTGAAAGGCAGTCTAGGACACAAGGACTGCAATTCCTGGACACGTCTTAGTGTTGTGCTTAGAGCCAGTGGACTAGGACAGCATGCAACCAAAAGACCCACCAGACAGGGCGACCAAGGGAATGGATGTGTCACTCCTCCCCCAGTCCCAGGCAGCAGAGCTCACAGAATAAGAGACTCCTTCCTTCTGCTTCAGGATAGGAAGGCAACAAGTAAAGGCAACAGGAGTGTGTCTTTTATCTTGTATACCAGCTCAGTCACAGTAGGATAAGCAACAGGCAGAGTACTGAGACCCCATTCCAGGCCCTATCTCCTGGACAACATTTCTAGACACACCCTGGGCCAAAATGGAGCTCACTGCCCTGAAGGGAAGGATCCAATCCTGGCAGGATTCATCGCCTGCTGACTAAAGACCACTCGGGCCCTGAATAAACAACAGCGATACCCAGGTAGTACACTGTAGGCCTTGGTTGAGATTCAGACATGCTGGTTTCAGGTGAAACCCAGCAAATTCCCAGCTCACTGTGGTGGCTATGGTGAGAGACTCCTGCTTGAAAAAAGCAAAAGGAAATATAAGAGGGATTTTGTCTTACATCTTAGGTACCACTTTGGATCTTGGGGTCCCCGAGTCCAGGCCTAGGCTTTTGGACAGCATTTCTAGACCTGTCCTGGCCCAGAGAGGAGCCCATTGTCCTGAAGAGTGAAGCTCAGGCTCGGCAGCAATCACCACAGGCTGACTGAAGAGCCCTTGGGTTTTAAGTGAACATCAACCATGGCCTAGCAGAACTCCCCATGTGCCAGTGACCACAGAGAGAGGCTCCTCTGCCTGTAGAAAGGAGAGAGAAAAATGGGAAGAACTTTGTCTTGTGCTTTCAGTGCCAGCTTAGCCACAGTAGGAAAGAACACTAGGTAGATTTCTAAGGTTTTTGACTCTTAATTCTTGGCCCCCAGAGCACATCTCCAGACCATCTGGGGCCTGGGGAAATTATCATACTGAAGGGAAGGACATAAATGTGGCTGGCTTCACTACCTGCTGATTGTAGAACCACAGGGCCTTGAGTGAACACAGGCTTTAGCCAGGTAGTGTTTACAGCAGGCCTTGGGTCACACCCAGTGCTGTGCTAGCTTTAGGTCTGACCCAGTGCAATTCCAGAGGTGGTGGCAACAGGGGTGTCACCCCTCCCCCAGCTTCAGGAAGTTCAGCACAGAGAGACAGAAAGAAACTACATTTGTTTGGGAGAAAGTAAGGAAAGAGAACAAGACCCTCTGCCTGGGAATCCAGAGAATTCTTCCAGATCTTAGTCAACACCACCAAGGCGGTGGTATCTCTAGGAGACTGGAAGAACCACAGCATTATTGAGCTTGGGGCCCAAGTCCCTCAGAACACTTAGAAAGTCTTCCCAAGAAAGATGGGCAAAAACAAGCCCAGACTGCAACAACTACAATAAATACCTAACTCTTCAATGACCAGACACCAACGAACATCCAGAAGCATCAAGACCATCCAGAAAAACATGACCTCACCAAACAAACTAAATAAGGCACCAGGGACCAATCCTGCAGAAACACAGATATGTGACTTCTCAGACAGAGAATTCAAAATGACTGTGTTGAGGAAACACAATGAAATTCAAGATAACACAGAGAAAGAATTCAGAATCCTATCCGACAAATTTAACAAAGAGACTGAAATTATTTTGTAAAATCAAGCAGAAATTCTAGAACTGAAAAATGCAACTGGCATACTGAAGAATGCATCAACCTCTTAATAGCAGAATGCATCAAGTGAAAGAAATAATTAGTGAGCTTGAAGACAGGCTATTGAAAATGCAGAGGAGACAAAAGTAAAAATAAGAATTAAACACTCCTACAAGATCTAGAAAATAGTCTCAAAATGGTGAACCTAAGAGTTACTGGCATTAAAGAGGAGGTAGAAAAAGAGATAAGGGTAGAAAGTGTATTCAAAGTGATAACAACAGAGAACTTCCCAAACCTAGAGAAAGATATCAACATCTAAGTACAAGAAGGTTATAGAACACCAAGAAGATTTAATCCAAAGAAGACTGTGTCGAGGCATTTAATAATCAACCCCCCAAAGGTCAAGCATAAAGGATCCTAAAAGCAGCAAGAGAAAAGAAACAAATAACATATGATGGAGCTCCAATTTGCCTAGCAGAAGACTTTTCAGTGGAAACCTTACAGGCCATGAGAGAGTAGTATGATATATTTAAAATGCTGAAGGAAGAAATTTTTATCCTAGAATATCCAACAAAAATATCCTTCAAACATGAAGGAGAAATAAAGACCTTCCCAAACAAATGAAAGCTGAAAGATTTCATCAACACTAGACTTGTCCTAGAAGAAATAACAAAGGGAGTTTGATCTGAAAGAAAAGGACATTCAGGAGCAATAAAAAATCTTCTGAAAGTACAAAACTCACTGGTAATAGTAAATACACAGAAACACACAGAATATTATAATACTGTAATTGTGGTGTGCAAGCTACTCTTAAGTAGAAAGACTAATGATGAATCAATCAAAAATAATAACTATAACAACTTTTCAAGACAAACCGTACAATAAGACGTAAAGAGAAACAACAAAAGTTAAAAAATGAGAGGGATGAAGTATAGAGATTTTATTAGTTTTCTTTTTGCTTGTTTATTTCAAAAGCTAAAAAATGACAGTAATGAAGTATAGAGATTTTATTAGTTTTCTTTTTGCTTATTTATGTAATCAGTGATAAGCTGACATCAGTTTGAAATAATAGGTAATAAGATAGTGTTTGCAAGCCTTATGATAACCTCGAAACAAAAAACAATGTATACACCAAAAATAAAAAGCAAAAAATTAAAACATACCACCAGAGAAAACCACCTTTGCTAAAAGGAAGACAGAAAGGAAGGAAAAAAGGAAGAGAAGACCACAAAACAACCAGAAAACAAGTAACAAAATGGCAGAGGTAAGTCCTTACTTATCAATAATAGCATTGAATGTGAATGGACTAAACTAGTCAAAAGAAAAAGAGTGGCAAATGGATTAAAAAACAAGAACAACCTGTTGCCTACGAGAAACACATTTCACCTATAAAGACATCTGAACTCAAAATAAAGAGACGAAAAAAGATATTCCATGCAAATGGAAACCAAAAAAAGAGTAGGAGCAGCTGTATTTGTATCAGACAAAACAGATTTCAAGACAAAAATTATAAGGAGACAAGGTCATTATATAATGATAAAGGGGTCAATTCAGTAAGAGGATATGATAATTGTAAATATATATGCACCCAGTCCTGGTGTACCCAGAAATATAAGGCAAATATTATTAGAACTAAATAGAGAGACTGAGCAAAATACAATAATAGCTGGAGACTTCACCACCCAACTTTCAGTGTTGGACAGATCTTTCAGACAGAAAATCAACAAAGAAACATCAGACTAAATCTGCACTATAGACAAATGAACCTAAACAGAATATTCCATAGAACAGCTGTAGAATACACATTCTTTTCCCCAGCACATGGATCATTCTCAAGGACAGATCATATGTTAGGTCACAATACAAGTCTTAAAACATTCAACTAGTATCAAACATCTTCTCTAAACACAATCAAATAAAACTAGAAACCAGTAACAAGAGAAATTTTTGAAACTATACAAACACAAGGAAATTAAACAATAGGCTTCTGAATTAACCGTGGATAAATCAAAAACTTAAGAAAGAAAATGAAAAATTTCTTGAAACAAGTAACAGAAACACAACATACCAAAACCTATGGGATACAGTGAAAGCAGTACTAAGGAAGTTTATAGCTTTAAGTGCCTACATCAAAAGAGAACAAACAATTCAAATAACACACATCTTAAACAACCAGAAAAGAGCAAACCAAACCCAAAATTAGTAGAGGAAAAGAAATAATAAAGATCAGAGATAAATGAAATTGAAACAAAGAAAATACAAAATATCAATGAAACAAAAACTTGGTTTTTTGAAAAGATAAGCAAAATTGACACAACTTTAAACCAACTAAGAAAAAAAGAAGACCCAAATAAATAAAATCAGAGACGAAAAGGTAGCCATTACAAACTGATACCATAGAAACTCAAAGGATCATTAGTGGCTACTATGAGCCACAGTATGGCAATAAATTGAAAAATCTAGAGGAAATGGATAAATTCCCAGACATATACCACTTATCAAGACTGAATCAGGAAGAAATCCATAACCTGAACAGGCCAATAACCAGTAACAAAATCAAAGCTGTAATAAAAACATCACCCAGTAAAGAAAAGCCCAGGATTCAATGGCTTCACTGCTGAATTCTGCCAAACATTTGAAGAACCAATACCAACCCTACTCAAACTATTCCGAAAAATAGAGGAGGCGGGAATACTTCCAAACTCATTTTACAAAGCCAGTATTACCCTGATACCAAATCTGGGCAAAGACACATCAAAAAAGGAAAACTACAGGCCAATCTCTGATAAATAAATCCTCAACAAAATACTAACAAACCAAATTCAACAATACATTAGAAAGATCATTCATAATAACCAAGGAGATTTATCCCAGGACGCAAGGATGGTTCAATATATGCAAATCAATCAATGTGATACATCTTATCAACAGAATGAAGGACAAACATCATATGATCATTTCAGCTGATGCTGAAAAAGCATATGATACAATTCAACATCCTTCATGATAAAAACTCTCAAAAAAGCCTTTCCTCTACGATGTGGTAAACGACAAGGATGCCCACTGTCACCGTTATTCAACACAGTACTGGAAGTCCTAGCTAGAGCAAACTATACAAGAGAAAGAAATAAAAGGCATCCAAATTGGAAAGGGAAGAAGTCAAATTATCCTTGTTTGTAGATGATATGATCTTATATTTGGAGAAACCTAAAGACTCCACAAGGAAACTATTAGAACAGATAAATTAAGTAAAGTAGCAGAATATGAAATCAACATATAAAAATCAGCAGCATTTCTATATGCCGACAGTGAAAAATCTGAAAAAAACATTTAAAAAAGTAATCCCATTTACAGTAGCCACAAATAAAATTTAATACCAAGGAATTAAGTTAACCAAGGAACTAAAAGACCTTTACAATGAAAACTATAAAACACTGACGAAGGCAATTGGACACAAAAAAGGGAAAGATATTCTATGTTAATGGATTGGAAGAATCAATATTGTTAAAATGCCCACAGTACTCAAAGCAATCTACAGATTCAATGTAATCCCTAGCAAAACACCAATGACATTCTTCACAGAAATAGAAAAAACAATCCTAAGATTTATACAGAACCACAAAAGACCCAGAATAGCCAAAAAGAATGAAACTGGAAGAGTCACACTGCCTGACTTCAAACTATTCTATAGAGCTATAGTAGCCAAAATGCCATCTACTGGCAAAAAAAAAACCAGACCAATGGAACAGAATAGAGAACCCTGAAACAAATGCATATGCCTACAATGAACTCAATAACAACAAAGGTCCCAAGAACATATACTGGAGAAAAGAGTCCCTTTAATAAATGGTGCACAGAAAACCGGATATTCCTATGTAGAAGAATGAAAGTGGATCCCTATCTCTTGCCATATATAAAAATCAAATCAAAATGGATCAAAGATTTAAAACTCAATCATCAAACTATGAAACTACTACAGGAAAACATCCACAAAACTCTCCAGAACAATAGTGTGGGTAAAAATTTCTTACATAATACCCCACATGCACAGGCAACCAAAGGAAACATGGACAAATAGCACATCAAGTTAAAAAGCTCTGCAGACAAAGGAAACAATCAGCAAAGTGAAGAGACAACCCACAGAATGGGAGAAAATTGCAAACTGTCACTCTAACAAGGGATTAATAACCACCATCTATAAACAACTCAAACAACTGTACAGGAAAAAAAAATCTAATAATGCAATTTTAAAATGGGCTAAAGATCTGAGTAGACATTCCTCAAAAGAAGACATACAAATGACAAACATGCATATGAAAAGGTGCTCAACATCATAGACCATCAGAGAAATGAAAATCAAAACTACAATGTGGTATCACCTCATCCCAATTAAAATGGCTTTTAACCAAAAGACAAGGAATAACAAATGCTGGTAAGGATATGGAGAAAGGAAAACCCTGGTATAGTGTTGGCTGGAATGTAAATTAGTACAACCACTATGGAGAACAGTTTGGAGGTTCCTCAAAAAACTAAAAACAGAGGTACCATATGATCCTCTGGTACCAGCAATCCCAATGCTGGGTATATAGCCAAAAGAAGGAAAATCAGTATGTAGAAGAGATTTCTACACTTCCATGTTTGCTGCAGCATTGTTCACAACAGCCAAGATTTTGAAGCAACCTAAGTGTCCATCAACAGATGAACAGATAAAATGTGGTACACATACACAATGGAGAACTATTCGGCCATAAAAAGAATGAGATCCTGTCATCTGTAACAACATGGCTGGAACCAAGGTCATTATGTCAAGTGAAATAAGCCAGCTACAGATAGACAAACTTCAAAAGTTCTCATTTACTTGTGGAAGCTAGAAAATAAAATAATTGAACTCATGGAGATAGAGAGATGGATGGTTACCAAAGGCTGAGGAGGATAGTGGGGGTGGAGAAGAAGTGAGGATGGTTAATAGGTACTAAAACATAGGAATAACGAATAAGACCTACTATTGATAGCACAACAGGGTTACAATAGTCAACACTAAATTATACATTTTAAAATAACTAAAAGAGTATAACTGGATGGTTTGTTATATAAAGGATAAATACTTGAGGGGATGGATAACCCATTCACCATGATGTGATTATTACGCATTGCATGCCTGTTTCAAAGTATCTCACGTACTCCATAAATACATACACCTACTATGTGCCCACAAAAATTTAAAAAAATTTAAAAATAATAAAAATAAGATTTTATCTTCTTAAAAAAAAAGTAGGTAGGTAACGTTGGAGAGGTATTCCAGGTTTCATTTGCTAACTAGGAAAAATTAAGAGTTCCATATCTGCTAATAATTCGCAGAAATAGCTGATTCAGATGCTTCTGAATGGAAACATATTAATTACTTACACAGAAGCATACTTTTGTGTAATTTATTAGTAAACAAACATATAAACCTTTGGTGACCTAAAATTCACATTTAGTTGCAAAATTGTTTATTTTTCAAAACATAATATATATTGCTTGAGAAAACAATTCCTCTAAATGGTCTTAGGAAAAGAAAACACAAGCCTTATTTTTTCCTGGAATCAAGAACTGAATCACCATTCTCTCCTCCCCGATATACAAAGAATCACTACAAAGTAATAGTTATGTGAGAACCTGATATGACATGAAATTAGGTTTCCAGAAATCCATTATTCCATAATGCAATCAGGGGACCTATTTCACAGTACATTTACAACACATGCAATAAACTTGGACTCTGAACTCCACAGCAGCTGATTAAACAAGAAGCCTACTTCTTCTCAGCTGTCCTGGCATAGCTTTATTAAGTCTAGCAAACATCGAACTTCCAGAATGCCATAAATAACTTTGGCTTGCAAGCTGTAGTAACAGTACTAAAATTTCCTCAGGTGTAAACATGTCCTACTAGCTAGAAATCCTTTAAAAGATGATTACTAGACTACCATTGTAGCTATCATGGATCTAACGTTAAGGTGAGAAGGAATAATCATTTTAACTCTTACAATACACTGTAGACAAGATTTAGTGAATCATTTAGCTTCAGAGTAAAACGGTCATCCTTACTATGGTACAATTTTGCAGATTAATTTGACAACCACTTTCACCTTTAAATCTGCACAGCACAGAAAAAGCCAAACTAAAATATAATTTCCCTATTAGATATATAGAGAATTTCATAGGTAAACTATAAACACTAATGTTTAATTGATTAGGTATCTTATTTATATGTTATGTTAACAAACTAAAACACCAAATAATAATCCTAGTATTTCATTCTTTTTTAACCAAACACCTCATATTTGAAGGAACATTATTTTACTCCACTCCCAATTCAAGCCCTAAATTTCATCTCCATATCAAAGAGGAAACCCTAATAAGTACCATCCCTATTTCTAAAACCCTATACTTCTGAACATGCCTTTGAATACATGACAGAAATAATTTTTTTAAACGCTTGACACCATGCTGTTAATGTTTGATCAGTAAATTCAATTTGAGAATTATGCAAGAAAAAGGCCACTGAAATTGTTAGAACAAAAACCTTTTCTAATTTCTCTTCATTCACTAGAGGATTAAACTGAAGATGTGCAATGTAAATTTCCCTCCATTCAAGTAAGGGCTCAAAATACCAGATAAATAAAGAAAATTCTTCCAAACAACTTTGCCCAATAACTTATCAATTCAGAATATAGACATGAAAAGAAAGAGTGTCTCTGGGTGGAATTGTGATAATGGTTCCTGGAGTAACTGAGAAGGTCAAACTAAATTGTTACCAAGATAGGTTACTCACTAGCTTATAGGATCTGTCTCCTTATCAAATTTCTAGGGCAAGAATAATTTAAAAATTTACTTGCTTAAATATCTGTGTTTCCGAATAGATTCTTAAGAACATGCATGCAGCCTTTTTCACACCTCTAGACCCTAACAGAAGTATTCAGCAAACCAATGGGTGGCATTCAGTAAGTATTTACTAAACAGAACTGAAGCCACTTGCTTCTAACAGTAGCTCCTTGAAATGAATGGGTAAGTATCAGAAAAAAAATGGTGAAATTAATTACTGGTGTTGGCTACAGCTGCCAAAGAGGGACATAACCAGACCTAAAAAGTGTCTCCAATGCTACCATGGTGGCAGTTTAACAGGAGGTTTTTCAAAAGATGCTTCTTCCTTGATAACACTCCTGAATTTCTCCAACCCCTTTGTGGCTAGGTTTCGTCATTAGAATTAAGTTCTTGACAAAAAAATTAAGTGGAAGTCTTGTGTAGGCCTTTCAAAAAGGCTACTTTAAGGAAGCAAACTCAGCTAGATGCGGGACCCCACTCTCTGCCCCACTTTTTCCCCTTCCAGGCAACAACTTAGGATGTGATGGGTGGCTCTTCAGCAGCTATCTTGTATGCTGAGGTGACCTTGATTGATAATGGAAGCCAAACACTAGGATGACAGAGCAGAAGATAAGAACTTGAGTTTCTCATACTGAGTCATAACAATACTAGCCCTGGACCACTTACCTTCAGAATCTTTTATGTGACAGAGAAATAAATTTTTATCCAAGCCACCATTTTGTCCATTCTTCTATGGTTGTCAAACCTAACATTACTTGAGAGATAGTGTTTGAAAATTTAAAATGTTGACTGCATTGGCAACTAAATCTGTGGCTTTCATGGCAACGAGTGTAAATGGATCACTCTCTACTGCCCCTAAGACTTAAGATTATAGAATAAAACTGTAATCAAATCCAATAATGTGGAAAAAAATGGTTTTGAAATGCAGAATCTTACTTTAATGAAAGTATTTTACAAAGAGAGATGAAAATTCATTGGAAATGGTGAGAGCATATGGACTATAACAGTAACAATAAGGTTAATGGTACTAAAGGCAAATTAGATTAATAAAATAGCAAAAAAATATTAAAATTTTAAAAGGCTGAAGCCATTGAATTTGAAGTCTGGAGATCTTGATTTGATTTGTTATAGGTAATTTTAGGAAAATAATTTCACATATCAGGGCCTTAGTTCCCCATTATAGAAAAGGAATTAAATAATCTCTAAGAAAATTTCAGTTCCAGAATTCTCTACATACCTTAGCATGTTAATATTAATTTAAAAGAAAACCCCAAAATATATCAATATTAAGTCTAAGACAATTCTTCAAATTAAAAAGCAACTACATCTTCTCCAGATACAAAGCAATGATATCTTCCAAATATCGGTTTAAAAAGTTTTGTCACCACTGACAATATAATTAAGATCTTTGTGCCTGCTATTCTGGCTACCTAGAATGGACTTATCTCCAACTCTTCAATTAACTCTATTTATCTCTTTTAGATCTCTTTCAGGTCTTAGGATATATGTCTCTTCTTAAGTGAGGCCTGTCCTGACCCCTAGAGTAGGTCCCACCTATTTTCTTTCTTAACATACTCTGCTTTTACACTTCATAGTACTTCATCACCATTGTTCATTCATATAATTATTTGTGTTCTTTTATTAAATGTCTCTTTCCCATTATAGCATAATCTCTAGAGGGAAGAGGCATATCTGCTTGGCTTTGTTTTCACTATTTTTTGCCCTGATACAATGCCTAACGCACCGATAAGAGTTCATTCATGCTAGTATTTGTTATACAAAAGAACAAGCAGACGAATAAATAAAGCAGGAATTAAAGAATTGCAGAGTTCATGCAAGAACATGTTTACCCAACTCACCTCATTAAACACAGGATACATGACTGCATAGAGGGGCATAGAAACCATGGATGTGGTCTCAGCTTCATTCTTCATCTCTTCCATTGTCATCCTCATTCAAAAGCCAACTACAGTTGAAAAAGCAGTGCTAAAATGCAGAGGAATCTTCATTCACTGCAATATTTCTTCTCTTTTTTGGTGATAAAAGAATTGGACACAAAAAACACACTGATCTGGTGAAAGAGGAAGAAAGAACAGAGACTTACTATATTAAGGAGAAACGACAAATACCAATAATTTTCCTTTCCAAATTACAGAGTTCCTATTTTATGAAAAGCTATTTTTTAATATATTCTACTTGTGAAAGCAAACCTAGTTGGCAAGAAACTTACCTTTTCCTCCAAAGACTCAACAACTGCCCTTTCCTAAAGTCCTTGGTTAGGTACTACTTCACAAAGCAGTGACTTAAGACGCTGCTTAACCTGAACTCAGAGAGCTCTCTATGAAGCACCATGGAATAATGATGTATGTCATGCCACCATATACAATCTAAGAGAACATATGAATAAGACACATACTTATAATATTTATACATAATATAAAATTATAATCAGGAAATGCATGATGTGTAAGTGTGTGCAGAAAACCAAATCGAAGAATCAATAAAGAAGAAAGAACTAGGGTGTTTTAACATTTTTATTAAAACCTTTTTGCTACTTGTTTATTGATTTTGTCACCTGAAAATAACACAAACATAACAAGCACCAAATATGTCAAACATAAAATTGAAAAAAATTCTACCAAATGTGATCCACTTGGTAAAATACTTGCTACTTAATTGTGCCAGTGATACCTTCTGGTATTTAGAAGAACTACAGAAATTGTTGTCCAAATCTGACATAAAAAGTGAGAAAGAAGAAAAACCCAGAGGCTGGTAGTTTGGATTAAAATCAAGAATTCAACAATAAAAGAAATTTTGCCTTGAGGTGTTAAGGAAATATGTTAGTTTTTAAAGAGAATACAACTATATATTTCCTTTACTATGGTTTAAAAAAATGATCCTAATCATGAAGTGAATAACAGTAGTGACATACATATATTAAACAAAAAGCCATTTTTTGATTAATTTCTACTACTTGTAAAGCATTTTCATAGTATAAAACATTTTGCACATGCATTTAGTCCTATAATAACTTGCTTTAAAAAACTGCAATTCTAATTTTACAAGTGTAAAGCAGGCTCAGAGATAATAAATAACTTGCCCAAGATCACACAGGTAGAGACCCAAGACTTGATCCCAGGACTCTGAATACAGATCTTATACTCTCACATAACAAAACCAAATTTGAAGTGGAAATAAAGAACCCCACCTCATCTACTCAAGAAAAGTACCCAGAATTTATTATTCACTCAACATGTTCAGAGTATGTTTAACACTGCTAGGTATGAAGTGCAGTTCCTAATCATTAAAAATTTATCTGTGCCAGAATGTGTAAGACCTAACAAGACTGAAAGATACAATCAAAGGCCTGCAGTGACGCTTCAAAAAGCTCCAATAACCTGTTCCATTGGAAAGCTGCTTAGTATTCCACCATATCGCTACCAGTGAAAGGGAACTCAACACCTACGGAAACTGTTTAGTCCCATTTCTGACAGTTCTAAACATCAAAGAGTTTTCCTGTTTCTCACCTGAAACCTACTCCATGACTTGACAGAACAAAAAGAGCAAAAGGCGAATTCCTGAATTTCATTCTATGGGGAAAAAGAATACCATTACCTGATTATGTAACTTAGTTAAGTAGATGGCTTTGGTCACAGCATGATGGAGAGAATGGAGGAAGAATAACGACAAGGAAAACTTAACAGACTCAGTATACCTATGTCAGAAATAAACAAGACCAAAATAATAAGCAAAAAGAAGTAGATAAATACCAATTGTGGCCCTGCTGTTCCTATTTAGCTACTTAAGTCACTTGGTAATCTGCTTTTCCACTTCAAAATAAATTGGGAAAACTTCATAATAAAAAAAACCTGGGGAAAAGGAGGATGGCTAAAAGGCAGTGGTATCAGTTAAAATGAAAAGGACAGAATGAATGCAGAATATAGACAGCAGCAGAAGGCATGGTATCATCAATGAAAAATCAAGTAAGAAATGGCAAAACAAAACCAAGAACAGACCTTGAAGAGCTCTCATTGTGTGACAGAAAAAAAATTATTTATTTAATAAATATTTCAATGGTCACAAAGAGGCACGGTATTAAATATAGAGCAGTGAACAAGACAAGACAGTCTCTGACCCCATTAAACGTGTTTTATAAAAGGAAAGTCAGAAAACATACAACTGTGGTGCGCACAAAAGGGAGAAGTCAGGCTGCTATATCGCTACAGGAGAACTGGAGAAAACCAGCATCACGAAACAAGTTTCAAGAAGAAGGTAGCCAAAAGTTTTAAGTGCTACTGAGTATGGAAAGTAACTTTTAAAAAATTATTTGATTTCTTGATGAGGTTAAAGCGGTAACCTTCAAAGAGCGGAGTACTTATATACTGGGGTGAGAAATCCCTGCAGGGGCTAAGAGAGTGAGCTGGTAAGTTTTCAAGAATCTCGGTATAAAGGAGGTGAAATACTTATGAGAAAAGTAAGCACAATGGAATTACTCTTGTGTTTCACTCTTTTGAACACATACGCATATAACTGCAGATGTACAGGCTGCCAGAGGTAAAGGGATAAGGTAAGTGGCCAGAGTCACTTTCAGAATTACTGCTGACATCTCTACCTACCTACCCCCTATAAACCTACTCAAATACTTAATTTTTACCTTTTGTAAATACTGGCATTTAATATTTTTAAAACTCATGTTTAATAAATAGTCTCTTCTCTAAAACTAACTTTACAGTACTTATTTGTCAACAAAAAGAACAGTATTTTGGCAACATCATGGGCTACATAAGTGGCTGGCCTATGGCATACATGCCATCTTTTAATACTGTTCTTATGAAAAATGCTCCAAAGAACCAATTTAAAACTGAACTTTTTAGAACACACATTAACAACTGGGGCCACTCAGTTTCAGTAGCATTTACATGAGATTAGAAATCAACAATTCCAATACGGCTTTTAAAATATTGAATTACTGTCAATTTCAACTTCGAGTTAAAATATGCCTTTGTCATTCCTTCCGCATGCTTCTTCATTTGAAATAGTTCAAGGGACAACCTGCAATTACCCCATGCAACAAAGAGCCTGCTATGGAAACAGCAAGGGTTGGCTGAGCTGAGTGAGGTCTGAGGCCCCCTTTGACAAGGTGCCTTCCTTTTAGGATGAGTGTGACCAAGTCCCGGCAGCTGGGTAGCACATTAACAAAATTTCAACCCTCTAAGGTACACTATTTTCTGGAGTAGGTGCTGATTATGCACATACAGAAAACTGAAGATCACTGACTACAAATCCCACATCTGAAATGGCCTTAAAAAGTTATTTCACCCATTTCACTACCTACAGCAGAAACCGAAGTACAAAAAGGATGTAGTGACTTGCTCCTGGTCACAACATCTAGCTAATAATTAAATACATAATAAAAATGTAATGTTGGTATGATAACAACATAGCAAGAACTTTACGTCTCACGTTTCAAATGTGCTGCTTTGCAGGGAAATCTTCAGTTCAAAGTAAGCTTTGTGTACTGTTGGCATCCACAAAATAAAAACCAAGAACAAGAAATGTTGAAAGAACCTAGACAAAAGGCATACTTTTAAACACACTTTTCTTCAAAAACACCCATTGTGATATTGGGATATCAACACAGAGTATAAGCAATCTTCTCACTTATAATTTACCCCTCATTTTCTTGAATATTCAAAATAGCACTGCTAATTTTTAACAGAAGATAATCAGCTTTAAATATCTTCCTGAGCTGAAGATAATTATCACTTGCTTAGAGTAAGAAGCCCAAAAACAGGTATTCGCCACTCCGCTGCCAAACTCTTAAATCTTTGGTGTTTCTGCCCTCCCTAACCAACTCGAGTCTGCTCATTTAAAGAGCCACACATGGGTATATCTCAGGGCTCAGAATCAGTATTTCCTGAAACTGCCTTACTTTACTCCATCTGGGACTTGAGATAAGTCTAGAGCCAAAGCTATTTACTATCAAATGAAAGGAGAGGAACAACAGAAGCTCTTGGTACTGGTATAGGCACTTCTCAGTTAGAAAAACAGCTTTTTAAGTAATTCTACACTTAAAACGTTTGTAGGCAGGCAGGTCTTTTTGTCTTGCTTTTCTCTCTAGTAAAATCCAGTACTCAGCCCTCTTGGCCCTAAATTCTTATAATTCCTATAATTTCTCTCTCTAAAAAGGGAAAGATTGATTGACTGACTGATGTATGCTGGATCTCCAACAAATGTGCATGAACATTCAGTTAAGAGAAGTGTGTTCATTCTAGCAGTGAGCAGAATCCTGTGTTTATGTTCCCATTTATAAGTGTGTTTCTTCTTCCCAATAGAGACATTACAGTCAGCATAGCGGGCACATAACAGACACTTAATGTTTGCTGAATGACCAAATTCATGAGTTGAGATGGGCAATTTATAAATTGAATCAGTCTTGCTAATATACTTTTCAAATAGCATGCCTAGCAAAATAAAAACAAACACAAAAATCAAATTAATTCTATTAACAAAGCCTGGACCCAGCCACATTATCACTGGAACCAAAATTCAGTGATAATAAGACTTCATTATTGTTATCAGCTATACTTTCCAAAGTAATCTAATAGGAATTTCTTTAAGACAAATTTTTCTTTAAGCATCAAATCATTAAAAATTATTTACAAATTCTAATTAAGGAGGTCCTCCCCAAGAGTTGGTTAACCCAGGATTTCAATTAACTGACAATTCCTTGCTTTCTCTCAATAATATAACACAGAGAATCATACTCATCAGCTGGGCACGGTGGCTCATGCCTGTAATCCCAGCACTTTGGGAGGCCAAGGCAGGTGGATCACTTGAGGTCAGGAGTTCAAGACCAGCCTGGCTAATATGGTGAAACCCCATCTCTACTAAAAATACATAAACTAGCCAGATGCGGTGGTGGGCTTCTGTAGTCCCAGCTACTCAGGAGGCTGAGGCAAGGGAATTGCTTGGACCTGGAAGGCGGAAGTTGCAGTGAGTCGAGATCGTGCCACTGCACTCCAGCCTGGGCAACAGAGCGAGACTCTGTCTCAAAAAAGAAAAAAAAAAAAAAAAAAAAAAAAATCACTCATCAAACTCTTAGAGAAAATGGATTTTTACAAAGACTGTATAGATGGTAGTCTGGCCATTTAACAAAGCGGGGTGGGGTTAACATTTGCTGACACAGTTTACGTACCTTTTTAGGGCTTTCTCATGCCAAAATGCTGTTAGTCACTTCCAAACAAGAGACCAAGATTTAGAGGAGAAAGCTAGGAAAAAGGGAGGCAGAGGAATAGGGTAAGTCAGTGATCCTACTTAGAGTAAAATGAGCTTGATGTCTTAAGGATATACCTACATCTCTCTCCTTGACTTGCAAATTACATCTTCTATAATTCAATGTCTTCCATTTCCAGTTTTCTTAATAAAGTTAAGTGGAACCTAACCTCCCTGAACATACACTACTGTCAGTTTAGTACTTACAGAATTTTACACTTAGGGACATCTAGAAGCAATCTCTTGTTAATGGTAAGTGTATATAGCACTTTACCATTGTATCGTTTATATATATATATATATATATATATATATATATATATATATATATATATGCTTTAAAAATATTAAATGGACAATTTGTGCAGAAAGATACAGGGAAAAAGCATAAGCATTTAAAGTCTCAAAGCATGGGCTCAAATTCTGGTCCTGTCATTCATAAACTATCTTTGTCTCTGAACAAGTCATTTCACCTCTCTATCCTTTGGTTTCTTCTTTAATATGTCTGACAACTCTAGGGTACTTAGCAGCACAAGCTTGTGGATCTTCAACTTGGTGCTGCTGAGACTTCCAGCTCATCTTAAAAGTTAACTGCACCATGTCAAGTGTATGCACTTACATATTTTGTAGAGTACTGTTTTTTTTTTTTTTTTTTTTTTTTGAGACAGAGTTTCACTCTGTCACCCAGGCTGGGGTGCAGTGGCGTACCTCCACCCAGGTTCAAGCGATTCCCCTTCCTCAGCCTCTCGAGTACTGGGATTATAGGCACCTGCCACCACGCCTGGCTATTTTGTATTTTTAGTAGAGATGGGGGTTTCACCATGTTGGTCAGTTTGGTTTCAAACTCCTGACCTCAGGTGATCCACCCGCCTCAGCCTCCCAAAGTGCTGGGATTACAGGCGTGAGCCACTGTGCCTGGCCAGAGTACTGTTTCTTAATACAGAAATTTATAAAATGGGTAAGAAGTAACTTTTTCTACACATAGATAGACAGTATACAGCAGGAGATAGTGCTCAGTTTGGAAGGAAAAAAACCTCAGTTTGAATTTTTGCTCAGCTGGATGCTATCATTTCAGTTTTGTAAATCTCTATTTCTAAACTAGTGAGAAACAGAAATACTGAAGTACTCACTTCCCCAGATTAAGAGTACTAACTGCATATAAAATAGTTACTACAGTGGCTAACACATAATAACCATTCTATTCATATTGTTATTAATATTTTAGCCAAAATTCTAGGAACCTGACATGGAATCGATTGCAACTAGGGTGAGGCAAACCAGATGCCTAGAACACAAAATTTTGCTCTGATTTGCATGACTGAGAGAGTTAGTGCTTCTTCAAAGTTTGTACCCTAGGCATATCTCTTGCCTCACCCTAGTCCTGCCCCTGCATAACATACACAATGAGAGTCAAACACTGATATCACAATGTCATAAAGGCCACCTACATAGCATATTTTCAAAACCTTTTATCTCCCATTTGCCAAAATGGATGCATAAATACACTTAGTTTTGGCTTACATAAAAGAATTTGGCCATCAGGTGCATTTTAAAACTTTTTGCCAAACCAATGTTAAAATTACTTTTCTAAATGTACATAGATAAACTTAACAAAGGAAACCATGGCCCAGAAGCAGGCTGGGTAGCAGGCTGGGTTGCACACTGAAATCAAGATGTGATCAAAGCCCTTGAGATAATTCATAAAAGGTTTATAATCTGTACAAGATAATCAAAAGTTGACAACAAAATTAAAGAGCTCATTACCTCAGAATTAGCTGATGGGAAATGGAAACAGTAACAAAATAGTAACAATTGGCTCCTACGATATTTCAAAGCAACTTGTTCAGGGGGAAAAACATACATCTCTTTAGTTGTGACAATCCTCATTTTTTTTTCCTATGTCTAAATTTTTGGTAAATTCTGATCTGAGTAAAATTTAAATGAAAACACTTGTTGGAAGACAGGAAACAAATCTGTCCCCTTGAATATGTTCATCTTTTGCCCATAAAGTTCTCAACCTAATGGTTCATGAATAATGCCTAGTTGAATAGTTGTTTGGTGTTTAATTGAGGTACATGTCTATTTTCCTTTTTATTAGTATTATTCCTTGTCTTAGTTTCTCCAATACGATGTTAATTAAAGCTTTCCTTTAAAATCCCTTAGAAATTCAACTAAACTTAATTCCTCAGAGTGTTAGGTCCTCTCTGCTTAAAGGTACAATTAAAAGAATCTGTACCACCCTGGATCAGAGCTACTTGCTTTGTATCACTTATAATCTTAGATACCTAGAATTTAACTTAATGACTCCTAATGGCTTAAGATCCTCTAAAACATGCAACAGGTACTTTCATTACTTTACACAATTTCTTTGCACCAAAAACACTGCCACAGGGCACTCAAATGTTGACAGAAACTATTAGCCCCAGACAATAAATAGCCTCTGCCTTATTTAACATTAGGTGCTAATGAGGCCAAGGTTCTATCTTGATGATGACATTTAACTTTACCTTTAGCTCCCAATTGATCTCAAATACAAATACTATTTCTTACAAGAAGAAATTAGGGCTAGGATAGTATCTGTTTTTACTGCATCTACTGTTCCTCCTGTAACCTTCACTTCGCAAAAGTGTGATTTATTTTTTAAGGGAGCATACCAAAAATAAGGTAGAACCTTGGAAATCTCTCAAATTTTGACAGTACTGCATAAATACCGATTTTAATATGGATAAAGACATAGAGAAAGATGTGCAGTTCTCAATAAAAAAAAAAAAAGGATTCCAAATGCTTTGGAATTAAATGAAAAAAAGCCTAGCAACAATCTAAACTCGTATAGGGTGCAGTTGCTGTCTAGAGGCCAGGTCTGACTCATTTAACATTCCCAACTGGCTTCTGTTGTAGTAACCTTATATAAGTCTGAGGAGGCAGCCGGTGTGTAACATCTTAGGGTTTTGTCATTCCATAACTTCAATCTCAGTTGAATTCCAGTCTATCTTGAAGTAAGAGAGAATGACTGAATAAGACAGGGAGACCCATTTCAGTGCCAGGGACCAGATGGCAGTTAGAGAAACAATCATTTATTTTTCTATCAGCTCTAACCTAAAATTGTAAAATGAACTGATGCACATGGAAGTACTTAGTATATTAGAAAGACTAAATGTCCATACAATGGTCTTTCAACCCTTTCCCCTTGTATCTACTGAAGTATAAACTCCCTAAAGAGAAGTTGTATCCATTTCTCTATTTCCTAGTATCCAACACAGTATTCTGCATAGTCAGTCTAAGTCAGCAACAGTGTTAGTTGGAGATATGGTGATGAAAAGTCAAACAGCACATACCCTTGAAGGTATGTAGTCTTGGCAGGGAAGAGAGACAGTAAAGAAATACAGTGACATGTCACACTGCCACTTGGCATTAACACTCCAGGGAGCGTACCTGCTTCACATGATACTCCTACCCTATGCAAGTTCAACAGACATGGTGAACATTTGTTTGAAGAAAACAAACAAAAAAATAACTTCACTAAAAATAACTACTGCAGTATGTGATAATTCCATTCCCTATGCAAAAGTCCCAGAATGAGACAGATAAGAAACGTGGATCTGCCACTCCCCACACCAGACTGAGAGCCACAGTGAGCTCTCACAAAGAGTAGCTTGCCACACTGATTGTGACTCTTGTATTATAATATACATATTTCTTTTTTCAATATGGTCTCTGCATAACAAGTCAAACACTTCACCTGGTACTCAAAAGAAATCTACTCCAATGCTAGAAAAAAACTGGCTGTGTTGAAGTTGTTAGTCTACAACGTGTATTTCCTAATAGGTTTTTTAAAAAGTTTGAATATTAAGTAATTTCTGCCTGCCACACTGACCTTAGCATTTAAGACATAACTGCTCTGTAACTACAACTCTTAATGCTAATTTCTCTCTCCAATGCAGTTCAATCACTAACATCATTTTTACTATAATGATGAAAAACATGGTCTCTTGAGTCAGCCAGCCTGGATTCAAATCCTAATTCCAAGCAATTTTTCCTGCAACCGTAGGCAAGTTCCTTAACCTCTCTGTACTTTAGTTTCCTCATTTAAAAACTGGAGATAATAGTGCCTCTACCTCGAAGGGTTGTCGTAAGGATTATAAGAGATCCTGTAAAATGCTTATTAGCATGAGACTTGGCACTTAGTTACTTAATACTCAATAAATGCTAGCTATTATATTAGGTTCCAGTTCATTCCAAAGAAGGTTTAAGGCAATTTCACAAGTAATATGCATTCAATAAGTAAATGAATCAAAAAGTCATTATTTAGACTAACCTCTGGTAAACTTATTCCCAAGGGACCAGCCTAAGTATATGTTAGTGACTACCACTTAACATGTTCCACTGCTGTTACCCAATAGTTCATAAGCTTGTTAATAAAATTCTTTTCTTTTTCTTTTAACCCTATAGGCAACCTGGATTCTATCAACTGTATAAGAATGAAACTGAACAGCAGAAAATCACTTTTGGGTGATTTTAAAAATGGTTATACATAACCAAAAATGTAAGGGTGAGCTTGAAAAATAAGTGTAATATAATACACTTAAGACACATTTAAATTTTGTAGCTTAAATGACAAAATTGAAATTACCATCTTCATACAGACAAAAATGAACCATCAAACCACAGTGTTTATCTTTCAGCACATAAATTATTTCTAATTGCTATAATAAATGTGCTTTCATTTTTTGCATTGTGTGTGTGTGTGTGTCCCTAAAGCATAACCCTCTAACACTGCAGCTTACTATAATATTTCAAATGCAATAACATAGATAACAATGACATTTAACTTCTAAATCACTTTTACAGTTTATATTATGGAAAAAATTACTTATCATGTAAGTGGCTTAAAATTCTTAGTAACACCTATCATAATGATATTAATTATCCAACAACATATAAAAAGCAGTATTTCAGTTTTATCCTCCACATACTGGTTATGCTAGGTAAATATGAAAATTTTATCCAAGATTCAAGTAACATCAACACTGACTTTTTAAAAAGTAAGTTTAGGATTTAGCAAAGACTTGTTTTTAATAATAAAATGGATAGTATTACCAAATTTTAAAGCCAAATTATCAGCAATCTCTTTTTGACAAGATCTTGTGGAAGAGTAAACTGGTAAATCCATGAAGGCATACAAGGCTACAGAAACTCAGGGCTGTTGACCTTACTCTATGCCATACCGTGGTACTACAAATGACTGCAGAACTTGTTTCCAAGACCAAAACCTAACACAATTTATCCCTAAAATTCAGTTTGTATGTTTTAAAAATAATCTTTTTATGCTTAAGTCTCCAGCTATAAAGCAAATAAGATTAGAAAAGTATTAGAAAAATTTTCAGGAAACCCAAAATATAAGTTCCTTTGAAACAAAAACTACTCAATTTTACAAAGCCACCTTGTCTAAATCAAGTGATATTAAAGGTATAATTCATAGGAAGATAGCAAGGTTAAAAAGCAAGAAACAAAACAAAAAAGCAAAGAAAAAGAAAAAATTATGGATTCTAGAATACGGAGATAGATCCAGATTCTAACCATGGTTCCAGTACCAACGTTCTGGAAACTCTAGCAATTTAATTAAACTTTTTTTAGTTTAATAAGTAAATTTACTTATTTTCTTGATGTCTTCAGCTATAAAACAGTATTAATACTACTACCTAGAGGAAATAAAGGTTTTTAGGGCAAAACGAGACAACATTAGGGAAGAAGAGTCCATTAGAAGTTTCTTCCATGTCTATATTTTGTTATAATGAATATCGCTTGCAAAAAGCAGGACAGTGATAAGTCTCTAAAATGCTGTGTTACACAGCAATTCTGCGGCAAATGAAAGTGATTCCTTTATCATTTCCACTTAGAAAATTAATCCTGATTTCAGAGACCTCCAAAAAGAACAAACATTTTTCCACAATTTATATTAAAATTCTGTCAATGACTCCTTTACATATAACCTAAATTGCCTAAGCATTATGGCTCATTTGAAAGTTCTTATATACTTCAATCCAGAAAGCATATCCGCTTTATTCATTTCTCTATTTCTGTCCCCAGAGAAGTGCTGGAAGCACTGTGCATGAATACACTCCTTCATTCATTCAGCAAATATTTACTGAACCCTTACAATGTGCCAGGTACTGCGTAAGTAGTGGGGTAAAACATGACAAATGAGAGGGCCCTGCTCAGGGAGCTTATAGTCCAGTGAGGAGACAGTATTTGTCAAATAAATACAGAAATAATTAAGTTTCTATTATGATGATGCCACAAAGGAGTACAGAGTATGGTGAATACATGGCGGAAACCTATTCTGATTTTGGGAAGGCGGGCAAGGCTCCCCTGACGAACGATATTTAAATTGAGACGTGAAAACTGACTACCAGGTGGCCACATTTAGGTAGGCGTGAGGGGAACAGTCCAAGGAGTGAGACGGAATATGTAAAGGCCACCAAGTCAGGAAGCAGCTTATGTATGTAGTAACTGAAAGGCATGGTAAATGAGAAAGGCTGGAGATAAGGACGGAGAGCTGGATAGGAGAAGAGATAAATTTTTAGTGTTAAACAGAGTAAGAAGGTAATAGTATTTGAATATTTAAGTCACGTTAAGTCTTCTTCTCATGTAAATAATCTAAGGGAACTAAGTCTTTACTCCAAAATATTAAAGATCTGTAGTCAGAAGATCTCGATTTTGTCTTACTCCCACCAGTTACAAGTCACTTAACCAACTTGAGCCTCTTCATTCTCTTTGTAAATATTATCTTACCTACTCAGACTACAATAATAAACAGCCCCTATTCTTACAGACCTTACATCCTTAAGAGAAACAGACAGATGTATAATATACGGAAGACATCCCAAGTCCTCTAAGAAATAATGTCCAAAAGCTGACATAAGGCTCCTGCAAAGTTCAAAATGAGAAGAAATGCAGACACTGGTGAGCTGCAAACCACGTGTACACATAACTCTGTGAACTCCTAATTATCCAACGTGCAGAGATCTAAAGTGACAACAGTACCGCAGCATGTGACTGAAAGATGATAACAACAATACAAACATTAATCCACCATCCGAATAGAAGAAATATCAAAACTATAATTGGCCTCAGAGATAAAGAGTAGTGGCAGAAATGAACCAAGAACAAAATCTAAAACACACTGAACAAATGCATTACATTAACTAATTTCCAAAATTTCCTCATAGTTCAAAAGCTCTTTCCATAATGACAGAGTTACATGCCAAAGGTTAGAACTTATTTCATACCTCCTTCAACAAAAGGCAAATACCTACATTGTCATCTAGAAAACAGATTAATATTCTTGCTTTACCATCACTGACTCATGTTCAGTTTACGGTCTACTTACATCACTGCACCTTTCTTAATCCAGCACAAAGTCAGTTATCACCACATAATTTTCCATTTGTTTAACTGGGTCTTCCTTGTCTGTGTACTACATTACTTATGGTACATTATTCCTGATTTTACTTCATTCTATAGTATCATACTTTTTCTATTTTAAAAATCGTATTAATTTCCAGACCATCTTAATTTCAACCATCAGGGAAGATAATACCTCTGTTCCGAAAAAATGTTTTTCCATTAAAAAGTGAAGCACATTGTTGATAATATAGTAACTGCAGAGTACATTCAAAATTCAGCATAGTCTGATGATCAACTTATATATAAAACAGTAAGCTATGATTTATTACATGTTAAGAGTAAGCCATGATTTATTACATGCTAACCTGTATGGATATAAAGTTATCACAAATAAATTCTGCCATCAATGAACATACTCTAACAATTCTATTAAAAACTTATCCAATAATAATAGTCATGAGCTATAACTGGTCATAATCATTATAGAGGATAAGACTTGCATAAAGGCACTACTTTCTGCAAGATATGAACTATACGTGTACTGTTTTTTCATTCTTCAATGTAAAGTAAGAATGAATTGAAAGTCACAGTTGATGCTAAGAAAAATAAAAATATGCAAGAGCCCAATTTTATTATTTGCAGACACACACACAAATACAGCCCAGAGTCAAGAAAATGGGGGAAAAGTAAAGTCTCAAAAAAGACGATGTTACCTCCAAGAAATGCAAAATACCTTCTTTTCTAGTAATGGGCACACTAAACTCTCCTAACGCTACATTATTTGAAAAAAGTGTAGTTTTGTGAAAGAATTCCAATCCCACTATTATCAGTTTTACAAAATGAGAGTAAAAACAGTCCTAAGGTAGAAAAAGAAAAGAATATTCTTCTAAGGATGGGATATATTGTTTAACTGTTGTTCTCCCATCCTATTACCTACCCGTAAAAATGAACTGTGAGAGTAGAGTCTATCATTTAATACACCCCTAAAAAAAGGGGAAAAATCTGTAAAAGTTGAAACTGGCCATTTTTATTTTTTCCAAAAGGATCTTTCCTTTATTGAGGAATTTCACTCCGGTTCAAGAAACAACTTTTTATCTCACAATGGCTTCTTAGATATACTATATAAAATACATTTACTTTGTAACTTCCTCCACCCTTTTCAAAAAGCACAACCAACGTCCCTACTCTAAAGCTGGACTCGAACCGAACTAGATTCAGAAAGTCTGTCCCTACGTGTGTGACCTTGGGCACGTCATATAATCCCTCGGTTTCCTCATCAGCATCCCAAAATGAAAGCGCTCTGAAAGCAGTAAAGGAGTAAAAACATACCTTAGGTATGACACCTAAGAGGGTCAAGTCTTTCTGTTTAAGGCAAAATTATCTCCTTAGAGGGCCACATCATTAAACTGGAACTGAATCCGTAGACCCCAACATTTGTCTCTTCCTTCTTCCAGTGCTCCTCTTCCCTCAAAGGGCATAACCCGAGTCACCCCCAAGAGCCGACTCCCAAGCACCCTTTCCTTCCTCCTCCCTTTTCTCTTACTTACAAAGCAGGGGGAAAACAGCAGCCTCACCTCTCGGTCCGAAGCCACACCTTCAAAGGACCCCACCCCAGGCACATCCGCCCTGTCCCCTCTCCCGGGGCACCAGGGGCCAACCTCGCCCTTCCCCTCCCGCCCCCACCTAGAGGAGACTTCCTGGAGGCGTTCGGGCCCAAGCCGGCAGGCGGCATTTACAAACCCGCTTTACGCCACTCGCGTAGGGTAACCTCGCTTACGCCCGTAGGGCCCCGCTCTCAGCCCCGTCCGCTCCGCCTGCCAGAACCAAGCCCAAGTGCCTCAGCCATGGCCCCTGCGTGACCCTAGACCTCTTCTGCTCGGTGCAGAGCTACGGGGACTGGGACAGAACAGCTACACCTTACCAGCAACTGAGGCACTGACTTCACTTCCCACCTTGCAGCCCTCTTCAACTCCCGGATCAATTCACTCCGGCGACGCCGGAAGGACCCAAGAGGAACCAGGCGTTGTCCGGAATCCTGCCCAGCCGGAGTCGTGCAGAGGCTTATGGGGACTCGTAGTCCCGCTCGCCGGCGTTGTCCGCAATTCCTGCAATCGGAAGACTACACTTCCCGGCAGGCCATGCGGGGGATCCTGAGGCGATGGGTGGTGACACTTCTAGCCAATAGTAGGAGAATTCCCTGCCTTTGCGGGAGGAGGTGAGATGAAGAGAGATGGTGCACGGAAAGGAGAGGAAGGGCGGGGCAAGCCCTCACCTGCGCCAATCAGGGTGCGGAGTAGGCCCCGCAGGCGCCTCACCCATTGAGGGGGCGGGCTGACAGAGCAGAGGAAGGAAGGGGGTGAGGGGCCTGTGGTGGGGATCCTGGGGCTGTCGGGCTGAGTATGCCGTGTGGGTGGAGAGGAAGCCTCGGGGAAATCGCCCAGGTGAAGGGAGGGCTTGGTGTGGGGACTTGCACTGGGCAGAGGGGCAGCTTCCCTGAGAGCAGCTAAGCCCCAGGCACACCGGGCATCCGGACACACAGGTCGGGGAAGGATAGGCTGAGCCGGGGCTCCCAGCAGAGACGCCTGGGTGGGGCAGGAGGCCGCTCCAGGTGTGAGCCACAGAGGAGGGGAGAGGGACCCCCACGGGAGTGGAAGTGGCAGAGCAGCTGCAGAAGTGCAGGGAGCGGAAAGGTACCAGGGCAGCTGCTTTCCGCTGCCTCCGGTCCGGGCAGCTGCAGAAACAGCAGGGGGAGGAGCAACAGCTGCCAAATTCGCCAACTAGAGGAGGGAGAGGCGGAGCTTGGGTCCCTGTAGAAGCCAGAGGCGCAGTCTGGACTGTAGTTTCCCGGGAGAGACGAAAGCAGGAACGAGAGCGGAGCGGAGCACAGTCCGCCGAGCACAAGCTCCAGCATCCCGTCAGGGGTTGCAGGTGTGTGGGAGGTAAGCGTGGGTCCTTCTTCGGGGCGTCTGCACTGCCCTGGAGAAAACGTCTTCCAATAGGAATTACATCAAGACACAGCTAAAAGAGTCCGCGTTGGGTTAGGAAACCGGTGCAAAACCTCTCGGGTGAAAGATTTACATTTTTCGACTTTAAGGGCAAAAAAGCAAAAGGAAGCTTGACTCTGGGTATAAAGGGCGTGGTTAGTGTTTTTGGTTTGAGTTGCACCAGTAAAACTGTTCTGGGAGATCTGAAGATTGAGAAAAATCCTGCTAATTGAGGACGAGGTGGATGTTATCTGGTGGATGTTATAGGTGCGTAGCCTATAAAAAGCAAAAATTTTGCTATTGATATAGAATAACTTCTGAACTATTTCACTAGGAAAATAACTTTGCATTCTTCTTCAGTGTCTACCCTTTACGTTGGTTTATCAGATTGTCCTGCTACCGACCTGTTATCCAGGGTGGTTATTTTGCAGTTTCCTAGAATTGCAAGAAATCCGTATTAAAGAAGCAAGTGCAGGCAGGAATAGTCAGGATAGGATGGGCTCTGACTTAATCTATCAAAAGTATAACTTTTGCCAGCAATAATGTAAAAATGAATTTTAATGAATGGATAGTTAGCTTTCTTCCCAGTGGCTCTGGAATATTGGAACAAAGACCTGGATTCAGCCTACAATGGAAACATATGGTGTACCTCACTGCTGCTCGTTAGTTTCTCATTTGTGTCCGATAATATGTGTACATTTTAAAAACGAGTACATGGAAAGCTGTGTGGGAATCTTTTCTCTGGGTAGAGAGTATGTGCTGAAGGACTACCCTTAATATGTGTTATGATAGTGGGTTCAGTTTAAAACACATGTAGTGTCATAAAATAATAGTTTATTCTCGGTATTAAACTATATGTGCATTCAAAGCAACGTTAATTGTAATACCTATGGATGGAAATAAGTTGTAATGCTGGGTAAAGATGAAAGTCTCACCTACCTTTGTGTAATTATGACAAAATTACAGCCTTTTATTTTTAGAGAAGTAGTAAGAAGCTATTTTCCTAGTTCATTTTCATTTTGTTACAGAGGTTCCCAGATTACATGGCTTTTAATCATAGTAGCATATTGCAGCAAATTTTGCTCTGAAATGCTTTCATTGTGACAGTTGCATATTTCAGAGTCTGTCTCAATACTTTATGTTTTTTTTTAATAACCAGGGTCAATAAAATGGAGTAATTGTCTTGTTTTCTCCTATTTCTATGCTTTCCTGAGTTCTCGGGATTTTAAATTTTATTTTTGTAATGCATCCCAAATTTCTTTTTGAAAAGAAATGGCTCAAATGAATTCTCTTCCCAGATTAAAGTTCAGTCCTACTGAGTGCTACTACCGATAAGCCTAAGTGACTTTTCAGTGTGTATACTCTTCCCTCCCACACTCTCACATACCATAGAAATATATAGACAGATAGATCATAGAAAAACAGCTGCTTTTTAATTACCCCTAAGCAAATCAGCTAAGTATCAAAAACAGCAAAGAGCTTAGAAGAAAGAAAAAGCAACAGTAGCTGCTAAACTTAACCACTATAAGGATCAGGTTTTATCTTTGCTACAGCACTGGAGAATCTATTAATTCACATAGCTGATATGGCCCTGTGAAAATGATTTTGGGGGTAAAAAAAAAAGTGGGTATTAGGGTGACACATGGAAAAGACTGTGTTTGCCCTTGTTATTTGTGATTAAGTGGATTGTCTTGAATCAGTCTTAGATTCTTTCTCAGACCCTACTACTAATTCATTTTGTAAAACTGAATAATTGCTGTCGCTGGGTTATTTCCCCTATGTAATAATTATAATACTACCAATGAAATTCTTTCCGAGCCTTTATTAAAAGATCTGTTTGAAAGAGTTTTATTGGGAAACAGTTAATAAGCAAGCAAATGGATAGAAGATAAATATCTAAACAGTTGAAATTAAGATATACTTTGAATCTCAGCTCTTTATAGGTCTTCTGCTCTGAGACACGGTAAAGGATAGAATCTGATTAGGAATGAATGAGTTTGTGGTATTAAAGTACTGATTTTTTTCACCTGTTTCCAAGATTTGGATCCTTTTTACTGTGTCAGTAAAAGAGATTGGGTTTCAATATCATTTGAAAAAAGACCATGTTTTTATATGAGAGAATATCATTGGAAATATATGGCATTTATTTTTTACCTTGCACTCTTGATTCATGTTAGTTAATATTCACATTCAATCTCAGGTAATCTGAAGATTTTTCTTGATTGGTGTTGAAAACGTTCGTTATATGGCAGTTTATAATTCTGTGTAAAATGCTACCCATGTTATAAGCATATTACTTATTTTGCTCTTTAATTTTACTATTTGTGTATGGCTATCAGTGAATATGTATGATGAGAAAGGAAAAGCAACAGAGTGCAGAATGTCTCTCTTGAATGGAAATTGCTCTGGGGATGATTGTTCTTTAGCCAAAAACCTTGGTTAATTTCAAATTACCATATCCTTTGGTCTTTTCTTTAGAGTTCTGATTCTAAGCCTTTTGAGTAAAAATAAGTTAGCATGGATTTCTTTTTAACAGGAAGATTCACTGATGCATGCAGCACAAAAGAGCAAGACTTAAAGGTTCAAGATCAAATGGTTTTGGTAAAGAAGGATACAGGGGAATAGATATAAAGAAAACTACTTGAGAAACACACCTTTAGCAAAAGAGAAAAAAGATTTTATATTTTTTGTTAAATTCCTATAATCCATGATTCCATGACCTTTTCTCCCCCAGTCATTAATTTGTAGAGGCCTGTATTCATACTGGGATACATTACTTTTCTAAGTAAAATTGAATATTCAAAATCCAATGAATACCAGTCTGATTCCAGTTAAAATGGCAATTTTTACTGGAATAAATTTTGGATGATTAACCTTCCTTTTTTATGCTTTTATAACCCATAAATATTCAAAATCTAATGAATACCAGTCTGATTCCAGTCAATTGCCATTTTAACTGGAATCAAACTGGTATTCATTAGATTTTGAATATTCATGGATTATTAACCATAAAAATCCTACCTGTATACACTAACTTCTAAGTGAAACATTATTTGGACAAAATATCAAAAAGTAAATACCTAAACTGATGTTTTGCCCCTTTAAAATAATAAAGGTACTTGAACCAGACACTAAGATGAGCAAGAGCCCATTTATTTAATTAAGCAAATTCCAAAGGTTAAACACTGCTTTTGGGATCAGAATTAACGTACACAAATAAGGGAGAGATTTTTTTGTTGTTTCTTTTTTTTTTTTTTTTTTAAATCTTAAACCTGTAAGAATTTAGTCTTTAAAATTTGGAAGGTGTGTTTTAAGTAACTACGTTATTAACTCTTAGAGACCATGTACTTCTTTTCTATCTCCTGTTAGTCCTGAGCACTTTATGTCATATTCAGCATAAAGAAATTGAGTAACCAGTTACTGAATTAGAACCATTGGACATTGGACAATACTTCTGTAATGCACACATTGAGACAGTTTGCGCTTTGATAGACAGAGTCAGCTGACCTCACAGAATGATTGCTTACACATTAGTCCTTCTGAGAATGTCTTTATGCTAGTTTGCCTTTGCAAAAGTGTTGATTGAGCACAATTGGATTCACACTGTGTGCGCTGCAAATACATTACAGATTTGAGTGCCAGCATTTCTAAATTCATCTCAGAGATAGGATATATAGGCGAGGGTAAAGGAGTCTGCAACTGGTGGCACTTAAGGTCTTAATTTCACAGACAGAAAAACCCAGGGCTCAACCACCATTTAACCTCAAGGCCCTGGAGTTATACCTTTGTTGAAGCTTATCTGTAGAAACCATATTTCATTCTATAAAAACTGAATTTGCTCTTCTGTTTTTCTAATTATTTCTTCCAAAAAAAAAATAGACTGATTTTGTTTAAGCATGTGTGGAGTTGGTCATTAGTTGTTTTTTGCATTTGACCTAGAAACAAATTAATCTGATTGGTGTTAGAATTAAGAATCTAATGTAATTTTTACTTCATTATGATAAGACCTATACAATTCTAGTTAATTGTATATAGTTTTTTAGTAGTAAAATTAATTGTAGCACATATTTAACTATCTTCTGTTTACTTTTACCTTCATGTTGATTTATATAAATTGGCTTGCTTAGAACTGATAATTAACCTGCCTTTTTCTTTTTTTTTTTGCCGCCTTTTTTTTTTTCTGAGACAGGGTCTGACTCTGTCGCCCAGGCTGGAATGCAGTGACCTGATCATAGTTCACTGTAACCTTGAACTCCTGGGCTCAAGCACTCCTCACACCGCAGACTCCCCAGTAGCTAAGACTACAGGCAAGAACCACCATGCTCAGCTAATTTTAACTTTTTATAGAGATAAGGGTCTCACTGTGTTGCCCAGGTTGGTCCAAACTCCTGACCTCAAACAATTCTCTCACCTTGGTCTCCCAAAGAATTGGGATTACAGGTGTGAACCACCATGCCTTGCTGATATTATTCTTAATGATTAGCACTGTGCCTTGTGTAGAGTAAACTTAGTTCATACTATCTTTCTCACCAGATACTTAGTATCTTTAGAGCTAACTCTGAGTTTCATTGACGTTTGTATTCATTTTGAGAATCCTTTTACATAGTTCATACTTGGTAAGTAGTAACAATTTGGATAACTATTTGGTAATCTATAATGAAACATCATTTTGCAAACAAATACAACTAGAAAAATGACTTTTTCTTAGACATCTGTGTTAGTACCAAATTCAGCCCTCTGCCAACAACGGTTGCTTATATTACAGCTAAATATAAATATTGCTATCTTGTTGGATTTCTAAATGAGTAGAACAAATTTTGTTATTAACTGCAAACTTGCGCGCGCGCTTGTGTGCGTGTGTGTGTGCGTGCATGGGCGCATGCTTCAGACATGAATTTATTCATTAGATGCTATTTGGGGTTTATGTGGTCCTTTTCTCTCCTTGCCTCTAGAACTCTGCTGATTTAAAGATGTGCTTTTATGTAATACCTCCCCTCCCCTACACGATTTCCATTACTTTTTTCTTAACAAATAGAGAAAAATAAATAGATGAATGTAATATGAGGCCTTAACTAAAGTTTAACTGGCTGTAAATGTTCCATTTTCAGTGAAAAGGCTGCATTGAGAGACCTTAGTAAAGCTTACATTGTACCTGAATTATACAGGTATTTGTCATCTCTGAGCCATCATGAAGAACGAATGAGTTTTGAGACTTGGCATTGACAGTGCTCAGTGTTGGTCTTCTGTGTATAGCTTGGTGGTGGAAGCTTACAGGGTACCTTCAGTTTCAGCCACTGCTTTGAGGCCCCCTTCTGGTTCTGCCTGGGAAAGGAGACTTCTGAGCTCCTCACAGCTCTTAATGTGGGAAGGAAAACAGATGAAATGTTTTTCATTTAATAACCTTATTTTGTTAAACTGTATTGTTTTTCCCAGGTATATCTCACACCAGGATTCCCAGTAAGAGTAGCTCAAATGTCACACAGTGATTTCTATAGCACAGCCAGGCAATTCAATGAGTACCTATCAACTTGTAGTCCACTCCTAGCATCTTGGCTTTTCTTGAACAGACCCCAAAGAGCCCACTAAAACATTTCTGATATTTTACCCACATTGGATTGCTTCTGTCATTTTCTTGATAACCTAGATTTTGTTGCTTTGAGGTCTTTTAACCAGCTCTAACTTGAAGAGCTAGCTAATTTTATTGTTTTTATACCCGTTAGTAGTATGCTAGAGATACCATATTGTGGTGTATAATTTTTGCCTTTACTTGAATTAAATCAGTTATTGGAGCATTTAATTGTTGTGTACTTCACGAAGCAATTTAGAATCATTGAAGCAATTAGTGTTTTTGAGATATATTCAACCTTCCAGTTAAGAAACCTGTACCTAGTCTCCTAAATTGCTTACAGATGTTAAATCCCTTATTCAATGTCTGTGGCAGGTTAAATAGTATCTTATATCTTATGTCCTTTGACATACAATACCAGATGAAATTATATAATACCAGTAATGTCATAGAATAATTTTTGGCTTTGGTAAATTACGAAACTTTTAAAAAAATTATATTATGAGATTTTGTGCACAAGGTATATTAACTAAATCTAAGGCAACAAAGTTTGTTTTTGTATTTCAGAGTTTCTGATATGTTCTTTTAAAAATGCAAATAACTAGTTATCTAGATAAGAAGAAAAAGCCTTAAAATTTAAAAAATAAATAAGGAAAAAAATTTAAAATGCCAATAACTTTAAAGGTGTAAATAATAGCTATTTGTTAATATAATAGCAGATTTAATTAATAATTAGTAATATAAAATTGAACATTTTGAAAAGGAGAGAAAGAAATCTTATCCAGGATTATCTTAAAAGCAAATTTTTCCTCACATTGCATGGCCCAAAAGTGATTAACAATTTAAAAAATAATTGTAAAGTACAGATCAACTAGAAACGCTTTCAGCTACAAGTTTTATGCACAATGAGATAAAACAATAGGGATTTATTTTTCCAGAACAAGAAGTCTGAGGAGAGTAGTTGTTTGCTTTTTGTTTACAGGCTCGATGTTGTCAGAATTTTGTCCTTGTGATTTCTCTTGTGCTTGCTGTAAGACAGATGCCTCTGTTGATCCAGATATCACACTGTCATTCAAAGAAGGAAGAATGAGAAACAGTTGTTCCTGTTGAGTCTTTCTCTTTTAATCAGGAAATAAAAGCTTTCCCAAAGATCCCCGGCAGATGTCCACTGTGCACTAACTGGCTCATGTCATATGGCTGCCCTAGCTTTAATGGAAGTGGAGATATCAAAGACTTTTGGCTTCTGTGGTAGATGGAGCAGGGGAACAAAGGTTTGAGAATGACTTTTGGATAACTGTCAGTAGTTTCAGCCATAGTCTGATGACTAAAACCATGTTTATTTTAAATTTTATTTCTTCTCATTGTTATCAATTTTGTGCCGTTTTGTGTGTGTGTGTGTGTGTGTGTGTGTGTGTGTGTGTGTGTAGAAGTTTAGCAACTCTAACCTTCCCATACCAAGTGTTCACTTCAGTGATTTCCAAATTTTAAGTCCCTGAGCAAAGGCATTCCTCAGAAACTGATGGTATCTCCAGTTAAAAGGCCATCTAGCTAATATTGCATCTAATATTTTTCCTATACTTTGCATTACAAACACTTTTCGTAAAACTTGATGGTTCTATAATAAATCTGCTTTAAATCTAAAAATATTCAGTAATCTCTCCATATAGACTGCATTAAAAAATATGGGTATAATACAAATACAAGAAAAATTGAGTATTAGGATTTCTTTTATGAAGATTTTCTTAGCTGCCTGAAAAAGCAAAATAAGCCATTATTCCCTAGAGGAGAGCCTACTCTAAAAATTTATTACCCTAGAAAATGGTGTTATTATCCATTTCAAAAATGTGAAAAATATGAACATCTATAGAGTGATTATTACCTAAATTATGACTCATTCATACAGTGACACTTTGATACTCATGGTTTTGGTGAATTATGATTCCTTGAGGTAGGAAAGTCTGAGAAGAAAATTGAAATTGAGAAAATGTAAATAAGTACATTAATTTTTTTCTCTGCCTATAAAACTCTCATAATCAAAGATACTGACTTGGCAAAATTGTAGTTGTCTTTGCATTTCTATATCAACATTTTTACTGCCTGATTTTTACATTTCTATCATGTTACCCTAGGTGAATGGCTTTATCGGGATAAAGCTTTCCAGATAAGAGTCACGTGTAAATTTCTAAACTCTTCTACAAACAATCTCTAGTGTGAGTTTGGATTCTATAGGGGAATATAACAAAATATATAAAATTACTGTCTGGCATAATCTTTTGTCAATATAGTTAATAAAAGAAGGCATTGGAAGACACATTTACATTACAACAAGGATATATGACTTAAGGCTATGATATTACAGCAGTTACTATTGTAGAAAGCCAGAAGGAGAAGAAATTGGTCTATGTGGTAATCAGGAAAGGCTTTAAGGAAGAATTAGGGCAGCTGGTATGTTGGTTAATTGCAGGGGATGGCAAGCTAGGGCCTACAGTCACACTACCTTGTTTTATAAATAAAGTTTTATTGTAACACAACCATGCCCATTCATTTACATCTTATTAAGGCTGCCTTCTCGGTACAACAGCAGAGTTGAGTCATTGCAATGAAGACGTGAACCACAAGACTAAAGTATTTCCTATCTGGCCCTTTTAAAAAAATTTGTCAAACACTGGTTAAGAATGTCAGCTCTACAGTCAGACAAAACTGAGTTCAAATTTTTGTTCCATAATCATTAGCTATATGATATTCAGTATGTTACTTAATCTCTCTAAACTTTGGTTTTGTGATATGTAACTTTACTCAAAGGTTGTTTATGTTGACATAATGAGATTTTACACAGAGTGCATTACACAGTAACTGGCGTGTAGTAAATGCTCATTAAATGTTATTTTATTAAACGTTAGGTTTTATTTTATGATAATTTATTTTGTAAGTGAACTATAACTTTTTTTACTCAAATAGGGATTTGAAGCTCTCATTTTAACTCCTCTTCAAACTGCTAAAATAATGTTCAGGACACTAGGAAGGGTATCATCTAATTGTGAGAAATTTAGAAGAGTTGCACAGAATATTGTACTAGGACAGTAAGATTAAGAGCCAAATGACCTAAGTGTATGGAAAAAGTAATGCTACACTTTAAAATATAGTTAATATTTTAACTATATTGTTATTTTTTATATATATAACTATATTTAAATATTTTATATTTATATATAAATATATATAAATATAAAAATATATATATAAATATATATATAAACATATATAAATATATATAAAATATATATAAATATATAAATATATATATTATATATAACTATATTTATATATTAAATATATATTATATATAACTATGGTTATATATATATATAATATATAAATATAGTTATATATATAATATATATATTATATATAACTATAGTTATATATATATATAAATATATATATATCAACTGAATAGCTTATTGAGTATTGAAGGGTGCCAAGCCAGTCAGTTTTTTATAAGTTAAGATACTTTCTCAGAATTTAGAAGAAAATTATATTTAAGGGTAGGGGAACCTAATATAGTAAAGAGGAGACATCACTACCAATCTTACATAAATAAAAGTATTGTTGGAGAACACTATGAACAATTGTATGGCAAAAGATTAGATAACCTAGATGAAGTGAACAAATTGCTAGAAAGACACAAACTACTGAGACCAACTTAAGAAATAGAAAATTCAAATATAGACTCAAAAATGCTCAACAAAATACTAGCAACCAAATCTGGCAACAAAAGAATTATATACCATGATCCAGTAAGTTTTATTCCAGGAATAAAGGTTGGTTTAACATGAAAATCAATTAGCATTACATACTATATCAATGAAATAAAAGACACATAATTATCTCAATTGAAGAAGAAAAATATTTGGCAAAACACACTTTCATGATAAAAACATTTAACAAACTAGGAGTAAAAAGAAACTTCCTCCACGGGGTAAGTACATCTACAGAAAACATAAATAATTTTTTTAAAAAACATAGCTAACATTTGGTAGTGAAAGTCTGAATATTTCCCTTTAAGATCAGGAATAAGTCAAGGATGTCAGCTCTCACACTTTTATTCAACACTGTATTGAAGGTTCTAGCCAGGGAAATTAGGCAAGAAAAATAAAAAGCTCCCATACTAGAAAGGAAGAAATAAATTTCTATTCACATATGAATTGGTCTTGTATATAGAAAATCCTAAAGAATCCACATGAAAAACTATTAGAACTAATAAACAGGTTCACCAAGGTTGCAGGATAGAAGATCGATATAAAGAAACTAATTGTATTTTTATACACTAACAGTGAATATCCAAAATCAAAATTTTAAGATCCACTTAAAACAGCATAAAAAGGAAATAAAATACCAAGGAATGAATTTAACAAAAATGCAAGAATTTTACAACAAAAACACCAAATGATGTACAAAACATCACAAAGAAATTAAAGAAGACCTAAGTAAATTGAAAAGTATCTCATGTTCATGAGTTGAAAGACTTAATATTGTTGGGATGGCAGTATTCTCCAAATTAATATGCAGATTTAATGAATCAAAATGTCAGCCACTTTTTTTGCAGCAATTGACAAGTTGAACTTAGGACTCACATAGAAATGCAAGGAACCCAGATGTATGTGTCAGTGGAACAGAATTCAGAGTCAGGAAATAATTCTTTACATTTTCAGTCAATTGATTTTCAACAGGGTGCTGAGACAGTTTAATGGGGAAGGATATTTAACACATGATACCGAGGCAACTGGATATCTACATGGAAAAAAATAAAATTGGGCTCTACCTCACACCATATACAGAAGTGTTACTTAAAATGGATTACAGGCCTAAATGTAAGAGCTATAACTATAAAACTTAAAACAGGAGTAAATTATTACCATGCATTATACAGTAGTTTCTTAGATATGACACCAAAAGTACAAGAGACATAATAAAAACAAATTGGACTTCATCAAACTTAAAACTTTTGTGTTTCAAAGGACACGAGTTGAAAAGATAAGCCATATAATGGGAGAAAATATTTGCAAATCAGGCATTTGAGAAGAACCTTATATGCAGAGCTCATAAATAACTTATAATTCAACAATTTAAAACAATGCAATTAAAAGTAGGCAAAGGATATGAATAGACATTTCTTCCTCCAAACAAGATGTAAAAATCCAGGAAGCATATGAATAAATACAGAGCATTATTAGACACTAGGGAAATGCAAATCAAAACCACAGTGAGCTACTACTTCACACAAACTAGGATGACTAAAGTCAAAGAGACAGACACCTGTAACAATAAAAAGTACTGGTGAGGATGTGGGAATATTTGAACCCTCATAATATTTTTTGAAACTCATAAGGTTTTGGTGAGATTGTAAATGATGCTGTCACTTTGGAAAACAGTTTAGCCATTCTTCAAAATATTAGCCACAGAGTTAGCCTATGACCCAGCAGTTCCACTGTAGGTATATGCCGAAAAGAGTTGAAAAAATGTTTGTCTACACAAAAACATCCACAGGTGTTCATAACAGCATTATTCATAAAAGTGGAAACAATCCAATGTTTGTCAGTTAATGAATGGATAAACACAATGTTGTATAGCCATCCAGTGGAATATTATTTGACGATTAAAAGGAATGAGGTACTGATACTACAGCATGGATGGCCCTTGAAAGCATATTAAGCAAAAACACCAAACACAGCAGGCCACATTTTATGTGAAATATCTAGAATAGGCAAATCCATAAAGACACAAAGTAGATTACTAGTAAGGGACAAAGGGGAATAGGAAGTGACTGCAAATAGTTATGGGGTTTCTTTCTGGGGTGATGAAATGGTCTAAAATTAGATCTTGGTGATGGCTGCACAGCTTGATGAACTTCTTAAAAACCACTAGATTGGCCGGGCACGGTGGCTCAAGCCTGTAATCCCAGCACTTTGGGAGGCCGAGGCAGGCGGATCACGAGGTCAGGAGATCGAAACCATCCTGGCTAACACGGTGAAACTCTGTTTCTACTGAAAATACAGAAAATTAGCTGGGCGTGGCAGCGGGCGCCTGTGGTTCCAGCTACTCGAGAGGCTGAGGCAGGAGAATGGCGTGAACCCGGGAGGCGGAACTTGCAGTGAGCCGAGATCTTGCCACTGCACTCCAGCCTGGGCGACAGAGCGAGACTACGTCTCAAAACAACAACAACAACAACAAAACACTAGATTATACACCTTAAAAGGGTACATTTTATGATATGCGAACTATATTTTAATAAACCTGCTTTTTAAGTGAATATAATATTTAAAACTTTTAAAAATAGGAGTTATGGAAGATAGAATTATGAGGAACCCAGACTAGCAGATAAAAAGTAATGTAGAATAAAAAATTCATTCTACATCACTTGGCCTCACAGAACACCATGAAAAATTAGTGAAGAGAAACTAAGACCTACCCACACTTTGTTAAAGTTTTTTTGTGTTTTGTTGTTTTTTTTTTAATTTCAAAATGAAGGCAAGGAAAAAGCCTAAGCAACTTTAAGCAGATAAAAATAAAGGAGGCGGAAATATCAGCTTATCTTAATACTTCTTTATATCTTATTTTTCACTCAGAAAATATAATACTTAGGAACAAAAAAGTGTGATCAAAACAAAAAGAAAAAACTAGAACTTTAAGATAGAATGACAAATACTAAACAAATATATTGCAGTTATCAACAGCTTTAGTCCATTAGTGAAACACAAAATCCATCATACTGGATAGAAAAAAAAAGTCAAACTATTTAATATTTAAAAGACAGGAAGTTAAGCAAAAGAATACTAGTTTAAAGTAAAAGGATGATGAAGCAATAAATAGACAAAAATAAGTTTTAAAATGTAAGGCAGCTATATTTGTATAAGACAAGGCAGAATTCGAGGCAAAACCTTTAAGGTCAAGGAAGGTAATTTATATTGATAAAGGTGTAATGCATAGTGAAGACTGAATAGCCATGAGCCTATTTATGTCAGTCACATAGAACTAACGTCGCTAAACCAGTCTGAAAAAGAACTGTAAACATGGCCTTTGGTGCCAGATCTTGATTCAAGAGGGAAAAAGTAAATAGTCATGCAACATTAAAAATAAGGAAGGGATAAAAATGGACTTTGGAAGAAATGGAGATGACAACGTCTCAGAGGTGGTAGCATTGATGATGCGGATTTGAGGGAATTTGAGTATGAAATCAACTAGTTTTGTCCCTGAATTAGCTCAGGGATTACAAAATAGGTCAGCAGTCAGCACACAGGTAAGACAGAGTGTGTTACTCTGTGTGTGTGTGTGTGTGTGTGTGTGTGTGTGTGTGTGTGTTAACTGTATCTAAATACCAGTTCTCCACAATGAGTACCATGCTCTGTTGTCTTACACTGAGCTCTTTTTGGTCATTTTCCCAGCCTCCCTGGCCTCTGTAGGCATTTGGGTTTGTTACCACTAGTTTGGGATACGGGAGAAACTGATGAAGAGGAGTAAGTTTTGAGTCAAGCAGCAGGAAAAGAAAGAATAATTGTAATAATTCAAAATGTAACCGTTGTAAATGAGCTGAAAACGTAAAGCATTTAAATCTTTACAAGGATTATATTTATGTACATTCAGTTTGCTTCATGTTATTAAAAATTACTCACTGAGATATTGATATATCACTATTTTGAAATTATCCCCTTGCTTTTATGATTAAGGAAGTCAACTTTCATTAAAATACTGAATCTCATTTCCTCTCTTCTGTGTCTTAAATTTTTGTTTGTGTTTTTTTGCTCTAGTTTACTCTCATACAATGTTCCTTTTATGTCTTACCTTACCCTAATGGGAACATTTTATTTTTTGGTTTGACTCCTTCTCAACATCCACAAAACATATGAAGACATCTATGCTTTTTACCATCATTAAAACATAATGTTCAGCTAGCTGCCTGGCATGAATAATCCATCACTGAGGACCATTAACCATACATGACAAGCTACAGTACAGTAATTGCTATCTTTATACAAGACAATTGTGACTATAAGGCTGATGACTTAAAACCATAAACCCAGTCTCACTTTAAATCTAATAGTGCACCAACTGATATTTTAAGTAGTGTTCTCTTTTCTTCTTTTTAGAATGACTTATAAATGAGAAACTTTAACAGGAATATCTCATTTATTAAAAGGATCCAGAATTTCCACTGTAACACACCTTAGAATGCAGGAAATAAGCTTACAAACCCAGCCAAATTCCTTGCTGTGAAATTCACCTTATTTATCCATTAGCCTTTATGCAGAACCTGTTTACTGTTAATAAACTGTTTAATTTACTATTGAATGCTGTTTATATGTTTAGACAAATTAACAGTGACTCAATATAAACAAAAGATGAGAGGGGAAAAAAGCTAAGAAACTAAGAAAGCATAGGTGCCGGAAGGGTTCATGTCTTGACCTCAGAGAAGTGCAGAGACATAAGCTGTGGGGCAGTATGTAGTGCTCAGTAGATACTGGCTGGGTGAATGAAGGACAGAGCCAGAAAGTTTTAAAAAATGACCTTCAGGCATAAGAAAGAGGATTAATTGTTACATTTCCACTTTTCTGGAAAAACTAAGTGAATTATATATTTTGTTAAAGTTTCATGCAAATGGGTAAAATAAAAATAAATTTCGGTGCTTAAAAAGTAAATTCACAGCTATTGATAAAACACCCAGCCGGGATGACTTATTTTCAGAGAAATTAAAGAAACCAAAGCTTTGCTTTTTTTTCTGGATGTCACTACATGTATATGTTACCCAAATATCTAAAATGACAGCACTGAAATGTCTGTTTCAGAAATGTGCATATGAAATGATTAATTACACATTATGTAACATATCTTCTTCCCAGGTTGAATTTAGCAAGCTCTATGAGAAATATTTTTTCAGCCATGCAGTGTAGCTTGGGAAAGTAAGAACAAGATGACTGCACATAGAAATTAATGAAATAGAAAAGGCAACATGGAGCAATGGGTTTGCCATCACGTGTTCGTGATGCTTATTTGTGTATCATGTGAAGGCTATTATTAGTATGTGAAGAGAAAGTGAAAGGTTTACAGGAGGCAGTGGGTGTTGTCTAGAAGGAAATCCAGAACTGCTTCACTGTTTCTGAGACTGAACTTTTTACTGTGACCTAAGCACTAATATCTTTACATCCATACATTATCACCCTTAATTTTTATGACAATCGTATGAGACAAGTACTATCATAATTCTCATTTCATAGATGAGGAAAGTGGGGCATAGAAAATCATATAGGTTATTTCAGGTATCACCACACAGTACCTAGTTTGCATTTGTTTCCAGCCAAAACATAGTTCTGCAATATAATTATGATCTCAGAAGTAACCAGAATACTTTGTGTATTTCTATGGAATTGTCCATATTTACTTCACAGTATTTGTATATTGTACCTTGCATTCTTCAACTATGAATTCTCTTGCATTCTTAAAAAATTAGACAGCTGCAATTACATATCTAAACCCTATAAAAATAATAAAATCAATATATAAAAACTCTAACTTCAGACAAAAACTAGAGAATGTTTCATGATAATATTAAAAAAAGAATAGAAAATCCACGGCAAGCTTACTTTAAATTAGGCATTTCAAACTGGCAGTTTGACAGACTGAAATCTTTCTGTCTCACCTCCTGCCAGCTAAATTATGTTTTGCAGAGTTTATTATGTTAGGAAAAAAAAGATTTTCTTTAGGTAAGGAATATCCTCTTCAGTTACCGCAGACTCCTCTATTCTCCATTATACTGGACCAATTCACACATTTATATTATCTGCTAAGAAACTGCAGACTTCTGAGTTTGTCAGAACTTTCAATCATGAGCACCTTGGTAAATTTAAAATATGCTATTGAATTATTAACATAGTTTTTGGAATATGTCTACTTGATAAAATGAGGTAGCCCTGTAATTACACAAAGTAAGTCAAACTGTATCAGAATAGTTTTTCAAAGCTTAGTCTCTATAAGCAAAGATTAAATTATTAAGCAGTCAACCGTATCTGTTAACTTCCTTTAAATGTTTTCTCCACATGGAAAGGAATAGGAAATAAGAGATTTTTCTTAAGCCAGATGAAAAATTTGAGATGTGTTAAATTACTCCGCTAAATATATAGATTTATCAGAGAATAGTGTTGAGGTTATCGACACAAATGGTGATGGGTTGTCAATGGCATTTTCAGGCTGTCAACTCAACTGTCAGGATGAAACTAATTGGTACATCATATGCAGCGTTATGTATGATTTGTTCTAATATCTTTTCCAGTACGGTATCTAGTATCTTTTTCATGTACGATAATAAAGCCTCCAATATTAGTGATTCTCCTTCATGTGTGAAGTGACATTTTAAAACTGTATACTGTCCCACAATATAAATGGATTTTGTTTCAAATTGTGTTGTATGAAATTAAACTTTGTGAAATTGCCAACATTTGACTATTTTTGACCTACCAAAAAAAGGTAATTTATATGGTTCAACCTAATACAATAGTTATGCCAAATGGGGAAAATGTTTTTCAAGAGAAACTGAAATACAGGTTTGTTTTGAGATTAGTAATAAACATGCATTGTGTTCCTGCTTTCTGCCAGACCCTGAGCTCTCAAGGAAGGTCATTTTCTCTCTTCATCCTCCTAAGTCTTGCATGTGTTTGGGTTTCCCAGAGCTTGGCCATAGGGCACCTCTTCTCCACACTCCCCAAAAACTCTAATCCAAATGTGCTCATAACTCCTAAATGTATCTCTAACCCAGACCTACACTCTGAACTCTGACCTTATTTATCTAACTACTTTCTTAACTCTCCAAGTGGATGTCTCATGGGCACCTCAGATTTACCTATCCAAAGCAAAATTCATGATCCCCTATCTCACCCCTCTCTGCTTTTGTTCCAGCCTTCTCCATCTTAATGAAGGACAGCTCCACCTACCTACCCAGCTGGCTGAGTTTAAACCTGGGAGTAATCCTGACTCGCCCTTCCTTACTGTTACCTCTGTCTTGTCCAATTTATTTTTTAAATAAGTCTATCCATAATCTAACTATCCCTTTTCTATCTTCATTGCAACCCCCATAGTCAACTATCTTCTCTCACCTGGATTGTTACAATAACCACCCAATTTCTTCTTCAGCTTCTGCTTGAGACTCCCCATACTCTCTCCTGTATAACTTTATAAATTATACTGTGTTTAGGAGAAAATGCAACATCCTTGCTGCTTACAAGGGCCTAGATAACCTAGCCCCTACCTCATAAGCCAGCCTCTTCTTTTCCTTTGTTCATTGTATTATTTCAGTTCTTTAATCACAGAGCTCTTTTCTGCCATCAGGCCTTCATATTATTCCCTCTGTCTGGAATACTGCTTCCCTCCTTAACTCTTATTTATCCTCATGTCTCAACTTAAATAACACTTGCTTAGAGAGGCCTTCCCTGATTCTCTCCTTAATCTAAAATAGGTCCCTGTTATTCTTTTATGTGACACACTATTACTTTTTATTCATTGCACTTAACACAGTTTTCAACTAGGTGCTTTAATGCATGTGTGTTCGTTTAATGTAAGCTCTGTGAAGGCAGAGCCCTTGTCTGCTGCTTTCACCTCCATGTCCAGGGCCCAGTACACAGTGGATGCTCTCTGCTTGAAATGAAAAGTATAGTCTATATTGGATGTCGATGCTTGAGGAAAGCCAGATGTTCAGAGGAGGATGTGAGGGGCTTTTGGAAATGTGGTATGGTTTCAAATCCCATCTTTGTTTTGGGTGACTTTTCTGAGCCCCTAGATTGTAAGCTTTCTCAAAGCAGTTATTTTGTCTATTTTGTGTAGAGGGCACTGCTCTATTCCCAGTGCCCAGAAAAGTGCTTGATAATTAGGGATGTTCAATAAATATTTGTTGAGTAAATGAACTGTTTCCTCTTTCACAAAGTTCCTTTCTCATGAAACTATAAGGGTGGTAAATAAAGAAAATATAGGAAGCATCTAATGTATAGCAGGTACTCAATAATGCCAGAAACCCTAGTGGGTTTTTCAAAACATAATTCTCACATTTTTTACAAGAGTGATTCTCAGAGGCCTTGGGACCCTATGAAGATTGGGGGTGGGGAGCAGTGAGGTGGGTATCTTAAACTTACCCCTGTGGCCTTTTTTCAAACTACCTAAACTTATACTTCATGTCCAGTGCCTACTACAGACTGGCTATTTTTCATGAAGAATATATCATATTCCTCAGGTGTGCTAAAGCAAAGATTAAGGAAAATATGTCTAAATCTTGCCTAGAACCAATGTCACAAGAATAATAGCTAATAAAGGAGAACTGTATATCAGAAGACTATCAGTGTTGTTAGGCTAAAGAATGTATATTAAAAAAGGAACTGTGAAATAATTATATAGTGATGCTACTGTCTCTCTTCTGGTAAGAAATATCAGAATGTGTGCTTGATAGAGTGTCTCTCTGGATATATTACCTTGGATTCAATTTTAAAGGCATTTGCTAGCCCTTAATGTTTTTTAAAAGGGGGAGAGGAGTAGATTTCTTATTCTCCAAAATCATGTATTAACCTTACTTCAAGCTGCTTTTTCAAGGGAAATATTTATACTCCCAGTAACTGGTTGGAAGAGATGCAGTTATGCCACATTTACCTTTGTTTTATCCAGTTTAAGAATTTGTGAGCTCTGTATTCATTTTTATACTGGTTAATTAGGCATGAAATCCAGGAGGGATAAAGGAATAAAGGTCAGAATCACCACAGGCTGTCACAAATCCCAGAAATAGGGGAAGTGAAAATTCACCAACCAATTGAACCACACATTACACACAGCTAGACCCTGGGCTACAGAGATGCATCTTCAGCAACTGGAATAGATGAAAGTGTCTCTTAAAGCCCTCCATTGATCTATAATTGTAAAATGTTTACAAGCATTTTGATTGTATACAACAAAAATAAGCAACTTTAAGTGTCCTACTTCTGTGGCACATACATTTTCATAATTTACAGATTCTATTATCTGTGCTTTCTTTAGTATATGTACACTGTTCAAATTTGAATATTCTAAATGTCAACAAAGAATAACATTAATGTTTATGACTTGGCCATAAGGAAATCCACAGTGCAAAATCTGAATTTTCACGTCCTTGGAACATACTGGAAGTGTCACTAATCAGATAAATCCACTAGAAGAAAAACTTCTGTTAGAGGTATAATCCAGAAGGGAAGTTGATTGAATACAACTGCATTATTTGGTTATAGCAGAACTGCCACACTATAGGATTTCCAGATTCATCCAGGTAAATCCTTTCATTTTCTTCCACTTCAGGAGTTCTCAATCTTTGCTGGTCTGCGTGTCCACCATGGAGTTCAGGTTCAAGCTATTTTTGTCCATGTCCTACCCAACCCTGAGTAGGTGCTTGCTTCTTGGATCCCTGCTAGCACTTTTTCATTCCCTATTAACTGACCACCTAGTTGGCCTCCTCTTCCTTCTTTCTTTCTTTCCTGCTGTTCACAGATATCTTTGATAGCTCCTTCCTGCAGCCTCATGCAGCTCAATGAACTGTTCTGCTGTCTGATCAAAACATTCATTCAACAAATCCCATTCCTTCTTGACTTTTATTCCAGTCTTTCAACAATCCTACCAGGTTACTGGGCCATAGCTCTCATTGTAAGCATTAAGATATAACTCCACAACTACATTTTTTTAAGTTTAGCTGTATGGGAAAGAATCATGCATATTAATCCATGACCTATTTCAGGATGGTAGTTTGGAAGCACTTCCTAATTAAGAAACTCTGAAAGAAAGCACATGGCATTATCACGATCACTCCAAATGGACCTCCTTTTAAAGTCATTTCAGATTTCACCAGCAGTGCACATTCACTCCTGATTTGGAGTAGGCAAGTGACCAAGGATACTGGTAGATTCAATATTTTAAAAGGAACTTACTGGTAAAAATAAGTTCTTGTTTCAAGGAAATAGATGATGGTCTTATAGTACTTCAAAAGGGCCCATTAAGATAGAGCTATACTTTGTAAAAATATTTGTTATTTTAGGTTAAGCAATTCAGAGAGAGGAAACCATAAGAAGGCTGTGGTTGGTACTGGAACCTTGTAAAATGAAGATCAAAATCACTGACTGTTCATACTTGAAATTACAATAAATGTAAAATGTGACCTTGGTATTATGGCATAGTCTTTTAAAAATGTCTTTGTTTTCATTTGTTTTTCACTTTCTTCTGTAATCTCTCAGATTCTGGTACTACTGAAATAGTTTAGCTTTGTAAACCTAAAGCCTATATTATTAGCTATTAAAACAAGTAGGTGTTGCTGATTTTTTTTTTTTTTTTTTTTTGGCTGTGGTCCGTCCTGCAGACCCCAGCTGCATGACGGATGAATAACGTACTCAGACACTGATATTCAGTGAAAGAGTTGGCTAGGGGACCAGGCCGCTGACTGAAAGAGATGTAGCAGCCATGACCCTGACTAGCTGGCTCCTCCGACATTTATTCAGCACACATTAAATGACAAAGGCTTTGAGTCAGCACCACTAGAGGCTAATTAACCTGGTCACTCTCCCCACCCCCTGACCCCTGCCCCCAACCCCAGAGAGCCATCCTGCCCACGAATGATCAAAGGTTAGTTTTAGGACCACATGAGTAAACAAGTTATTTAGATAAACTCCTCTACATTCCTAGGTATCCATGCCCTATGCTTTTAAGATAATTCAGCTGCTTTCAGTCAAACACTTTACTGAAGCTATGTAAACCCCCAGGCCTTCCAAGAAGTTTTGTGTTTATTTCCCATAATTTTACAATTTCTCCCACCATCCTGACCCAACCCCCACATTTTTTGAGACAATGTCTCACTCTGCTTGCCCAGGCTAGAGTACAGTGGTGTGATCTCAGCTCACTGCAGCCTTGACCTCCCAGGCTCAGGTCATCCTCCCATCTCAGCCTCCCAAGTAGCTGGGACTACAGGCATGCACCACCACATTCATCTTTGTTTTTGTTTTTGTTTTTGTTTTTTAGTAGAGATAGAGTTTCACCATGTTACTCAGGCTGGTCTTGAACTCCCCTACTCAAGTGATCCACCCACCTCAGCCTCCCAAAGTGCTGGAATTACAGGCATAAGCCGCAACACCCAGCCCTAAAATTGCTTTTGTAATTAAACTTCCAAATAAACATGTCTAGCCATTAGTTAAAAGATAAGTCATCTTTTTTTTTGAAAAATATATATAAGCATATGCCCCTTGTAATGACTATGGCAGTCATGCCATAAAAGCAATTTCTAGTCCACCACTGCAGTTATTTAGATTAGCTATTTGATTTCCATTAATCCAAAGAAGACCAGAACATCTAAGTATCTACAATATGCAACCAACTTTCTGCTTCAGACTTTATAAATAATGTATTCTGCGTCTCAGCTGACTCTTCGTTATGTCACAAGTCTAAGCCACCATGTAAAAAATAGACTTAGTGACTCTATGTAAATGAGGTTTTCTGCCTGTAGGGAATCAATTCTGTGAAATTCAGTGAGTAATAAAACAGCTACAAAGGATTTATTAAAGAGAGAAAAGTGCATCTATTACTGATTAGGATATTTTTAGGGAAAGGCACATTGAACAGCAACCTTTAAATAATCAAGTTAGTTAATCACAGTATCAAATGACTTTAGTGCTGGAAGGAATCTGAAAGATCAAAGACCAACCCTCCTGTTTTACTGATGAAGCCTAGAGCTTTTTCTAAGACCAGCTTTTGAAAGGACCTCACACTAAACTGCAAGGTCACTGAAGGCAGTGTATAATGGTTGCTTATATCCGTGGTGTTTGTGCAGTGCTTGGGATGTATTAAACACTGAAAATACGAATTTGCATGATGAATTAATAAATGATTTTATAAACAAACATGAGTAAAGGAATTAATATGATCTCCTTGGTGTTACATAGGAATTTCTGTTATACAAATCATAATGAACGTTAATGTTACCTGTTTTCAAAAAGTATTCTCGTTTTTAAAGGAGCCTCAATTAGTGAGATCTCTCTCTCTCTCACACACACACACACACACACAAAATATATATTACACTATTAGATATAGTCATTGAACTTGTAATCATACTCCGTGTTGGCCTCTGTATATTCAAATGAACCAGGGATATAAATGTTCCTAACTGTGGCTGGGTGTGGTGGCTCATGCCTATAATCCTAGCACTTCGGGAGGTTGAGGCAGGCAGATCACTTGAGTTCAGGGGTTTGAGACCAGCCTGACTAACATGGCAAAATCCCATCTCTAATACAAATACAAAAATTAGCTGAGCTTGGTGGCCTGCGCCTGTAATCCCAGCTACTCGGGAGGCTGAGGCAGAAGAATCACTTGAACCCAGGAGGCGGAGATTGCAGTGAGCCGAGATCACGCCACTACACTCCAGCTGGGGCAACAAAGTGAGACTCCATCTCAAAAAATAAAGAAAAATATAAATGTTCCTAAATGTTCTTCTTGACAATTGTCAGAAAACCAAATCTCCAGCCAGAGTATAAATGTCAGGGGTATTCAGCATTCTGATTTATGTAACACAAATCCCTATGCAACAGACAGGAAGTAATATTAATTCCTTTACACGGATTCATATTTTGAATGTCTCCGTATCTTTCTAAGTCTTTTGTCTTCATTCTGGACCTGCAGGTGTGTGGATCCGGTGCCCTGTGTCCCCTGATACCCCACACATTTTTTCTTGTCTAAGCTTACATTTTAATCAAGCTACATTTTTAAAGAGGTATTTCTTTGGATGGATTGATTTTTAACAAGACATTGATCTATGTGAGTTGGACCATCTAAAAAGTCCATAACAAATCTGGGACAATTTGAAAAATAAGTAATGATAGCAATGTATTATAGCCCGTAGAATAAAATAAATACCTATGAGTCTCTACTGACACAAAAAATAATTTCGATACATAAGTAAATGGGAGCAAAGGGACAGCTATTTCTTATAGTAGAATTCCAATTGATGAATGTAGAAAGAATGATGGAAATAGAAAAATCACAGTGTGTCAAATATGGCATTAATCATTGTTGCAGATAATCATTAACAGATTAAAATTAGTGTTCAAAGATATGATGAGTAACAGGATATTTGTATAACCTTAAAGTATCCAACCACATGACACTTTTTCACAGATTGGAGGAGACTAAGGACATGTGGCAACTCAATGCAATATGGGATCCTAGATAAAATCCAGGGTCAGAAAAAGATCATTATTGAAAAAATTTAAACGAGGTCTATAGATTACTCAATAACATTGTATCAGTGTTAATTTCCTGGTTTTGATGATTATGCATTAGCTATAAGTGAGATATTAACATTTAGAGAAACTGAATGAAGGATATATGGGAACTCTACTTTTTTTCAACTTCTTTGTAAGTCTAAATTTATTTCAAAATTAAAATTTAAAATGTTTTAAAAATAAATACAAAGGTTATAACACTCTCTTATATTTGAGTGGCTCTTTATAAAAGAAGCTTAAGAGATACAGATGTTTTTATGATCCACATTAGACACAGGAAATAGATTCCAGTTGTTTCAGTGACTTGCCCAAGGCCACTCATTATAGAGCCAGGTGTTCTGTTAGATTCCATTTTCCTCTCTACAGAAACTGCTGGGCTTTACTATTTCATTCTCATAACTACTTTACAAAGACAGAGAAGGCATATTGTTCCCATTTTATAGACTTTGAGTTCCAGAGATTTCTCAAAGACCTAAAAATAGAACTATCATTTTACCCACAATCTGACTACAGATTTTTTTTTACTACCCAAAGGAAAATAAATCATTTTATCAAAAAGACACCTTACTCATATGTTTATCACAGCACTATTCATAATAGCAAAGTCATGGAATGAACCTAAGTGTCCATCAACATTGGATAAAGAAAATGTGGTATATATATATATATATATATGCGCCATGCAGTACTATGCAGCCATAAAAAAGAATGAAATCATATACTTCGTAGCAACATGGATGTAGCCAGAGGCCTAATATTATCCTAATTAAAATAACTCAAAAAATCAGATACCAAATATTCTCACTTATAAGTCAGAGCTAAACACTGGGTGCACATGGATATAAAGATGGAAATAATAGACACTGGGGACTCCAAAACTGGGGAAGGTGAAAGGGGGTGAGTGTTGAAAAGCTACCTGTTGGATACAATGTTCACTATTTGGGTGATATTTTCACTAGAAGCCAAAAACTCAGCATCACACAATATGTCCATGTAACCTCCACATGTACTCCCTGAAACTAAAATAAAAATAAATGAAGTAATGAATGAGACTGAGTTCCAGCTAAAGTAAAAAAAAGCCATAAATAACACAGATTAGTGAGTAGATAGAAGTCCAAGTTTTCTCACTCTTAATCCAGTTTTGTTTTTATTCATATTCTGACAGGTATTTCTGTAGCATTCCAAGAGACAGACATTTCTGTAGTCAAGACACTGCATATATGTATGTACGTATGTATATATGCCACGTGTCCTTAGTTTCCAATCTGTGAAAAAGTGTCATGTGGTTGGATACTTTAAGGTTATACAAATATCCTGTTTCTCATCATACCTTTGAACACGTGTACATATATGAAAATAGATATGACTTGTTGGGGGTCATCTTCAATGAGATGAGCTTTGAAAGAAGATTAAAAGTTGGCCAGGTGAAAGGAATTAGGAATATCATTCTAAGTAGGAATGGTGCTTAAAATTCTGCTTCTGGCAAACTTAAATTAGTTATGATGTCTCATCAATTCCTCTGGGTTATCAACTAGATGTTACCATAGTTGCAATGGTTCTGGTAAAAGAAGTGCCTGCTGCCAGCTGGATAACTAATTTCAAATATATATATATATATATATTCCTGACTGGCTTGGGAACTGTGAGATCATATGCTGTTCTGGCACCAGGGCAGCAGCATAAGGCATCTGATCAGAGAATACATATAACCTCCAATCCTCTGATACTATGTCTCTGGGTTGAACATGCAGCCTCAGCTTTAATTGGTGAGCTGGTGACAAGAATTTCCTCAGTTCTGGAAGCCTGGCTCCAAATTGTGTGTGTGTGTGTGTGTGTGTGTGTGTGTGTGTGTGTGTGTGTGTGTCTTAACTGTGTTACAGCACTTAACCTGTTTAAACGCTATGGGTTGTTTAAGTGGAACATCTCTCTGGATTTATCTAATCTGGCCAAAGATTACGCAATTCAGATTACCTGAACTTGTCCTTTCCTTCATTGGTTTCAAACGTGTTCAGATTAGCCTACAAAGAGGATAAGTTCAACAAGGGAGATGTAAGGCATTAACATTTAAGATCAATTCATCACACAGTTCTGAAAATAACAGTGTAAAGGCAAGTTCAGGCAGAGTTAAACCAAATGATTATTTTCTGCAGGGTGGGTAGTTTTGGATCTTGAGCTTGTGTCATTGTTTTGGTGACATGCGGAATTTATGCATCTGTATTTGAACAAGATTTAACACTAGTACAACAGCTGTTCCTTAGAACAAATGAACTCTTTGCTTATATAAGAACCTTTAACCTAACCTAGAGAGGGAGAAAACAGTGCCTCATATGGTTTACTCACGTGTGATCTTTTGCCCCAAGCCTGCCTTCAGACTTTCGAACAATAGACTTAATACATTTGGGATTGCAGGTGTTTTTATAAGTGTATCCATTGCAAGACTAGCCACTGGGTTGCAACAGCTTTGAGGCTTGAAGAACCCAAATAAAAAGATGAAAAGTTTGGTGATAGAAATTTTAGTTTGTTAAACTATTCATTGTCCCCAGGTTAAAAACTTTATGGGCCTCTATTTAATGGCTGATGCCTTTGCCCAGATTCTCTGTTAATAAAACTAAATTCCCAATTGTAACAATTTCTAATTGTATCATCAAATGTAGTAGCATAAAAACTTTAAGCCATGTTTGCCTTAAAGATTTGATTGATGTGGTGGGGTGGAGGACTAGTGAGTAATACCTTTATTATCTGACTTGTGTAGGCTCATTCTACCTTAACCCACCCTCCAACCATTGTATAGTCTACTCATGTCCTAATTCCATAAGACATTAGAGTAATTTCTGTTGCATAAATGATAGCTTTCATTGCTTATAAAATGTGCTTCAATACACTCAATAATGTCTTCTTCAAACTTATATTGCATTGATTACATCTGGCAGCCCCATATGGTAAAACGTAGTTATGACCCTTCTAATTAAATTATAGTTAGAAACTCACTTCTGGGGTGCAGCTCAGCAATCTACCAAATTTCTCAGTGACATTCAGAACATGAAATAACTTGGGGAGAATAAATTTGCAACACAAATGGGAACAGAGGAGAAGGTTTTCAATCTCTATTTATTTTTCAAAATTCATTACTTGTACAATTTATTTTCCAAACTAATTCTAAGCAAAGATGAGTAATACTACCTTGGCAGGAGTCTGTGCTTAAGATATTTCCATATGTTTAAGCAGAAATACCTAGTATGGTACTTTCCCTATAAGTAGAATGCCATGAAAAACGTTCTTAAGACAGGTTCTCCAGCACCTCCTTCCACCCTTGGTCTCGATGAAGGACCCCATGTCCTATTTCACAGAGAAAAGGGAAACCTTCAGAAAACTTCCACACTCACTACCACTTGTTTCCACCCAAAAGCATCTGTACCCATGTACTTTACCTTTTCTCCTGTTTCTATAGATACGTTGTCGGTGCTTCTCTATAAGGTCAATGCCTCTGCTTGTGTTCTAGACTTCATTCCCTCTCCTCTCCTCATGATACCACTCCTGCAGTGCCCTTCTCCTCCAAATAATCAACTTCCCCCTCCCCTAGATCATTACCCCTAGGAAACAAACGTGCTGTTTTTTCTCCTGTCTTAAACAAACTAGAAAACGAAGAAAACTCTTTCTTGACTACTCCCTTCTCCACCCAGCTACTGTTCTTCAAGAGTTTTCTTTGCTCAGTTTCTAAATTTTTGTTCCCCATTCTTCCTTAACTCAGTCTAATGAGGCTTTCAGTTTCACTCTCCACCTCAGCCTCCCCATTCCACCTGTATTGGCTTCTTGCTGATCTGTGGATTAACCAGACTCATTCCTCAGCATTTGCACTTGCTAATCCCTGGCTTCTGACCCTAGATATCCAGAGTTTAGCTTCTTCACCTTCCTCCTTGAAACCTTTGTTCAAAAATCACCTATTCAGTGAAGCTTCCTAATCTTTTTATTTAAAATTGCGATACTCCCTCTCACCTCCTTACTTTCTTATCCCCTTTCACTGAGGTTTTTTTTTTCCAGGATATTTATCACATTCTAATATTCTACATGACTTATTTTCTAAATAAAATTCCTTACAGAGGTTTTTGAAGACTTGAATGTTTAACAGGCAAAGTAGATAGAAGCCTCCTTTACGAACAAATTGAATGCCCGGTGACATTCAATTCAAGGAGGGGATGTTGGGAAGGAAGGGGTCTGGACTTTGGAGCCAGACCTGATTGATTCTCTGCTTACTATTTTTCAGCTGTGTCATTTTAGGTAATCTACCCAAAGTCCCCAGGTCTCAGTTGGCTCATGTGTAAGTAGGGAAAATATACCTAAATCATTCATTCAGCAAACATTGAGTGCAGACTTGGGCCAAGCAGTGGGCTAGGTCCTGGTAGTCCTAAGTGGGTCGGATGTGGTTTCTGTTCCTCATGGAGCTTGCAGTCTAGGGAGCAAATTGATGTTAGGCAATAATGCTAGAAAAAAAAGATAAAAATCACAGCTAGTAGATTGCAAAGGAATAAGTGGTCTGGCTTGTAATTATTGCTCAATTATTTCCTCGTTTCCCATTCCTCTCATGCCACCACTGTCATATTTCAACCACAGTTTTGTGTGTGTGTGTGTGTGTGTATGTGTGTGTGTGTGTGTTGAGACAGGATCTTACTCTGTCACCCAGGCTCAAGTGTAGCGGTGTGATCTTGGCTCACTGCAACCTCCACCTCCTAGGCTCAAGCAATCCCCTCACCTCAGCCTCCCAAGTAACTGGAAACACAGGTGTGCACCACCACGCCCAGCTAATTTATCTTGTATCTTTGGTGGAGACGCAGTTCCAACATGTTGCTCAGGCTGCTATACCACGATTTTACTGACAGGCATATCCCAGTTGGTATTCTACCAGCTCGTTTTCCACACTTGAGTGTGTCTAACAATCACCTGAAATATCCGTTAAAAATACAGGCAACTGAGGTCAATATGTAGAATTTCTTTTTCAAGAGTTTGGTGATGTAACCCCCAAACTGGATTTTAACCATCTCCTAGGAAATTCTGAAGTAGCAATCACCAGACCACACACTCAGAAGTGCCAGGTTTGAGAAATAGTTGTATTGTCTCTCTTTTTAATAATAGGTTATGAAAACACTTTAAAGTCATGTCATTCTGAATAAATTATATTCTCCCAAAAGCTATTTAATCTAGAACTTTTGCCTCACATTAATAATACTAATGATCTTTAGAGAGCACACACTATTGAATTATACTAGGATCTAAATCTTAACTCACTCCCCAAGGACACCTTTTGTTTCCTGGTATCTTTATTGCAAAAAACACTTAAATAATTTTTAAATTGCATCAATTATAATGGCTAAAAAGTAAGGAACAGCAAGAGAGCCACAACCAAAAAGAAAACTGACCACAGAGAGCCTTCCTGCCACAGGCACTGAGGACAGCAATCAACAGATGGTGCTAACTGCTGTGATTATTAAGCCAAACACATTTGTATTAGTCTATTTTCACGCTGCTGATCAATTCATACCCAAATTTATACAGGGAAAAGGGTTTAATGGACTTACAGTTCCACGTGGCTGGGGAGGCCTCACAATCATGGTGGAAGGCAAGGAGGAGCAAGTCATATCTTACATGGATGGCAGCAGGCAGAGAGAGAGAGCTTGTGCAGGGGAACTCCTCTTTTTAAAACTATCAGATCTCATGACACATGTTCACTATCATGAGAACAGCATTGGAAAGACTTGCCCCCATGGTGCAATTACCTCCTACTGGGTCCCTCCCACAACACATGGGAATTCAAGATGAGATTTGGGTGGGGACACAGCCATACCATGTTATTCCACTTCTGGCTCCTCCCAAATCTGACATCCTAACATTTCAAAACTAATCATGTCTTCACAACAGTCCTTCAAAGTCTTAACTCATTTCAGCATTAACTCCAAAGTCCACAATCCACAGTCTCATCTGAGACAAGGCAAGTCCCTTCTACCTATGAGCTTGTAAAATCAAAAGCAGGTTAGTTGCTTCATAGATACAATGGGGGTACAGGCATTGCATAAATACAGCCGTTGCAAATGGGAGAAATTGGCCAAAACAAAGGGGCTAAAGGAACCATGCAAGTCTGAAATCCAGCAGGGCAGTCAAATCTTAAAGCTCCAAAATGATCTCCTTTGACTTCATGTTTCACATCCAGGTCACACTGATGCAAGAGGTAGGTTCTCATTGTCTTGGGCAGCTCCACCCCTGTGACTTTGCAGGGTACACCCTCCCTCCTAGCTGCCTTCACAAGCTAGCATTGAGTGTCTGTGGCTTTTCCAGGCACACAGTGCAAGCTATCAGTGCATCTACCATTCTGGGGTCTGGTGGACAGTGGCCCTCTCCTCACATATCCACTAGACAGTGCTCCAGTAGGGACTCTGTGTGGAGGCTCCAACCCCACATTTCTCTTCCACATTACCCTAGCAGAGGTACTGCATGAGAGTCCCACCCCTGCAGCAAACTTCTGCCTGGGCAATCAGGCGTTTGCATACATCTTCTGAAATCTAGGTGGAGGTTCCCAAATCTCAATTCTTGACTTCTGTGCACTCACAGGCTCAACACCATATGGTAGCTGCCAAGGCTTGAAGCTTGCACCCTCTGAAGCCACAGCCCAAGCTCTACATTGTCCCCTTTCAGCCACAGCTGGAGTGGCTAGGACGCAGTGCACCAAGTCCCCAGGCTGCACACAGCACGGGGTTCCTGGGCCCAGCCCATGAAACCACTTTTTCCTCCTAGGCCTCTGGGCCTGTAATGGGAGGAGCTGCCACAGAAGTCTCTGACATGTCCTGGAGACATTTTCCCTATTGTCTTGGGGATAACATTCAGCTCCTTGTTACTTATGCAGATTTCTTCAGCTGGCTTGAATTTCTCCTCAAAAAATAGAATTTTCTTTTCTATAGCATTGTCAGGCTGCAAATTTTCTGAACTTTTATGCTCTACTTCTCTTATAAAACTCAATGCCTTTAACAGCACCCAAGTCAATTTTTGAATGCTTTGCTGCTTAGAAATTTCCTCTGCCAGATACCCTAAATCATCTCTGTCAAGTTCAAAGTTCCACAGATCTCTAGGGCAGGGGCAAAATGCTGCCAGTCTCTTTGCTAAAACATAACAAGAGTCACCTTTGCTGCAGTTCCCAATAAGCTCATCTCCATCTGAGACCACCCCAGCCTGGACCTTATTGTTCATATCACTATCAGCATTTTTGTCAAAGCAATTCAACAAGTCTCTAGGAAGCTCCAAAATTTCCCACACTTCCCTGTCTTCTTCTGAGCCCTCCAAACTTTTCCAACCTCTGCCTGTTACCCAGTTCCAAAGTCGCTTCCACATTTGTGGGTATCTTTTCAGCAATGCACCACCCTACTGGTACCAATTTACTGTATTAGTTCATTTTCATGCTGCTGATAAATACGTACCCAAGACTGGGCAATTTACCTAAAAAAAAAAAAAAAAAAGATTTAATGGACTTCCAGTCCCACATGACTGGAGAGGCTTCACAATCATGGCAGAAGGCAAGGGGAGCAACTCACATCTTATATGGATGGCAGCAGGCAAAGAGAGAGAGAGCTTGTGCAGGGGAACTCCCATTTTTAAAACCATCAGATCCCTTGAGATTTATTCACTATCATGAGAACAGCCTAAGAAAGACACACACCCCTGATTCAATTATCTCCCACTGGGTCTCTCCCACAACACGTGGGAATTACGGGTGCTACAACTTGAGATTTGGGTGGGGACACAGAGCCAAACCATATCAGTGAGGAAGGCATGTTAAAAGCTGAGATAGGCCAAAAGCTCGGCCTCCTGTGCCAAGGAGCAAGCCAAGTCGTGAATGCAAAGAAAAAATCCTGAAGTCAGTTAATTAAAAATGCCACTCCAGTGAGCACATGGATGATAGAAGGTTAAACAGGCCTATTGCTGATATGGAGAAAGTTTTAGTGGTCTAGATAGATCAAACCAGCCATAAAATTCCTTTAAATTAAAGCCTAATCCAGAGCAATAGCCTAACTCCTAAATTCTATGAAGGCTGAGAGAAGTGAAGAGGTTTCAGAAGAAAAGATTGAAGCCAGCAGAGAGATTGGTTCATGAGGTTTAAGAAAGGAAGCCATCTCCGTAACATAAAAGCGTATGGAGAAGCAGCAAGTGCTGATGGAGAAGCTGCAGCAAGTTATCCAGAAGATCTAGCTAAGATGACTGATGAAGGTGGCTACACTAAACAACATATTTTCACTGTCGATGAAACACCCTTATACTGTAAGACAGTGCCATCTAGGACTTTCATAGCTGGAGAGATAAAGTCAATGTCTGGTTTTAAAACTTCAAAGGACAGGCTGACTCTCATTATGGGCTAAATGCAGCTGGTGATTTTAAGTTGGAGCCAATGCTCATTTACCATTTGGATAATCTTAGGGCACTTAAGAATTATGCTAAATCTACTCTGCCTGTGCTCTACAAATGGAACAACACAACCTGAATGACAGCACATCTGTTTTGCAGCATGACTTAGTGGTTATTTTAAGCTCACTGTTGAGACCTACTGCTTGGAAAAACAGGTTCCTTTCAAAATATTACTGCTCGTTGACAGTGTATCTGATCACCCAAGAGCTCTGATGGAAATGTACATGGAGATTAATGTTGTCTTCATGCCTACTAACCTGGAATCCACTCTGCAGCCCATGGATCAAGGAGTAATTTTGACTTTCAATTCTTATTATTTAAAAATATATTTTGTATGTTTATAGAGCCATAGATAGTGATTCCTCTCTTAGATCTGGGCAAAGTAAATTGAAATTTTTCTGGAAAGGATTCACTAGAATGGCATCATTTAGTGATGCCATTTGGAAAAAATGTTATCTTTTTTGTAAAGAAAATTTTTGATTCACGGGAGAAAGTTAAAGTGTCAACATTAAAGAGAGTTTGGAAGAAATTGATTCCAACCCTCATGGATGATTTTGAGGGGTTCATTGAAGTCTTCAGTGGAGGAAGTAACTGTGGATATGGAAGAAGTAACAAGAGAACTCGAATTGGAGCCTGAAGATAATAACTGAATTTCTGCAATCTCATGATCAAATTTGAAGGGATGAGGCATTGCTTCTTATGGATGAGCAAAGGAAGTGTTTTTTTGGAGGTGGAATCTACTGGTGAAGATGCTGTGAACATTGTTGAAATTACAAGAAAGAATTTAGACTATTACAAAAACTCAGTTGATAAAGCAATGGTAGGGTTTGAGAGGACTGAATCCAATTTTGAAAGAAGTTCTACTATGGGTAAAATGCTATCAAACAACATTGCATGATACAGAAGAAATATTTTGTGAGAGTCCATAGATGTGGCAAACTTCACTGTTGTCTTATTTTAAGATATTGCTACAACCACCCAAACCTTCAGCAACCGCCAGCCTTATCAGTGAGCAGCCATCAACATCAAGGTAAGACCCTCCACCAATGAAAAGCTTATGACTTGCTGATGGCTGAGATGATCATTAGCATTTTTCAGCAATAAAGTATTTTTACATTAAGGTATGTGCCTTATTTTTTTAGACATAATGCTATTGCACACTTAATGGATTACAGTAGAGTGTAAGCATAACTTTTATATACAGTGGAAAACCAAAAAGTTCATATAACTCACTTTATTGTGTTATTAACTTTATTGTGGCGACCTGGATCCAGACCAGCAATATCGCTGAGGTATGCCTGTACTCAATTCAAAACTGAAGAAGACTGAAAAATCTGACTTGTGGGTTAAAAACAAAAGCACATCAGTGATCATGCATTATTTGTGTTTTACACTATAGCAATATAGCTAGCTACAGCCACAAAGAAAGTTGTTCTTCTGTGTATCTGAGTTTTCTAGAAAACTGAAATGTATCCTGTTGAATATTCCAATATTGTGTTTCAGATGGCTTATGGAATTTCTCTAACGTATTATGCACATCCCTGAAGATCCTACTGAATAGAATAGGTTACTATTTCTGAGATGGTTGAAGGGCATCATCATGAGTATCCAGCACTGGCTGCTGCAGGAATACCATGATCCGCATAGGAAATATGCTTATGGTAAAGGTCCTAGACTTTAAGGGTTTATTTGAGGTCTGCCAAGTTTTTCATTTGCTGCAGACCAGCTTTTTTTATGGCTTCTTCCTAAAGCCAGTATGCCTGTCTCCAGGAGCCCCTCCCTCTAATTTTGTTCTTTTGTTTGTTTGTTTGTTTGTTTGTTTGTTTTGAGATGGAGTGTGGCTCTGTCACCAGGCTGGAGTGCAGTGGCATGATCTCAGCTCACTGCAACCTCTGCCTCCCAGGTTCAGAGAGTTCTCCTGCCTCAGCCTCCCGAGTAGCTGGGACTACAGGTGCACACCACCATGCCCAGCTAATTTTTGTATTTTTAGTAGAAACGGGGTTTCACCATGTTGGCCAGGATGGTCTCAATCTCTTGACCTTGTGATCCACCCGCCTTGGCCTCTCAAAGTGCTGGGATTACAGGCATGAGCCACCATGCCTGGCCCTAATTTTGTTCTTTTAATTGCCAACGACAGGAAGCCAAAACAAAACATGCATGTATTTTAAGATCATACATAAAATAAAATTAAACATTCTAGGGTAGGGATTACATACTTCTGCCCCTCCGAGTTAACTATACAGACTTTGATACAAAATATTTAACTTTATGGATTCTTATTTTTGACTATTTAAAGATCTTAAAGTTTGTGCTTATTCTAGTTTATCAGATGCATTCTGGATAAGAGAAATCATCTAATATTGTGACCTTTGTATAAGTAAGAAAGAACCATAAAATCCCAGCCCTAAAGATTATAGACATATTCTACAACTTTTAAGAGGTGACTGCTTTTCTGTCCCAGTTCATTTTTTTACAAGTCATGCCTTAGAGTCATTCTCTAATATTAAGAGTGTGACCCTTAATATTTTTATCAGTCTGTTAAGTGACTAATGGTACCTCAGTGTAGTTTATTTTAATTAATAATTATTGAAAAGTTTGACCATGTTTTTACCTGTTTAAAAGCCATTTGTAATATCTTTTTTATGATGTATTCATATCCTTTGCCTGTTTTTCTATAGAATTTTGGTTGATTTTTTTAATTTATAAAAGTCCTTTGTAGAGTAGGAAAATTATTCTTTTGTCTGTGATTTAAGATTTTTCAGTTTTTCACTTGTCTCTTGACTGTAGTTACATGTTTTTTTTTTTCCTGTGGATTATTTTTATTTTAACATAGGCATGTTTACTTTTTTTTTTTTTAATGATGCCTAGGTCTTTGTCACACTTGGGCCTTCTCTGATGCAACCTTATATATTCAGATATAACATATGCATATATATGCACACATATATGTATGTGCCTATATGGAAAAGATATGTACAAATATATGTATGTATATATTTACATATGAATATATGTTTTTAAAGTATATGTTTAAAAAAGTTCATGATTTTTTCCTGGAACTTTTAAGTTTCATTGTTTACTTTTAAAGTCTGATCTCTCTGGAATTTATTTTGATTTGAAGTACAAAGTAATCTTCTTTATTGATTTAACACAAAAATATATTGTTCTCCCAACACAAGTTATTATTTACTGAATAATCTCTTTTAAAACCACTGATTTGAAGTGCCAAGTTTTATCATATAGTAGATTATATTTCGAACCACCCTATTTTAATTATTGTAGCTTTTTAATGCATTTTAGTATCTTATCACTGTTTTTATTCCTCAAAATTTTCTTTGGTATTCTTAATTTTTTCTACATAAACTTTAAAATTAGTCTAATTTTTTTAAAGCTCTATTTTTATTGAAATTTTATTAAATGTTTAGTATAATATAGGGAGAACTGACATCTTTTCAATATTGCATATTCCTATTGAAGAATAAGGTATCAATTTCCACTTATTCTAGTCTTTTTCCACAATTGTCTCAATTACTATAAATGACTTTTACAATTTGTTTCAACAGTAAAATAAAGCCCAGGCATAGTAATTTGTTGACGTGCATCTCAAATCTCTTAAGCCATCTGTTTCCCTGTTTCTCCAGCTCTCACTAACCTTTATTTCTATGTTACGTTTGTTGAAACTGATCAACTGTCCTGTACATTTTCCCACCATCTGGACCTTGCTGATGTACCCTCATGGTGTTGTTTATCATGTTAATCTGTCCTTATTTTGCTAAGAATACTACTTAAAAGATGAAGGATTCTAGTCTTTTCTGTGTTTATTCCTCAGCAGCATTTTATCTGTTCTTTTGTATAGATCCTTCTTATTTCTGTTTGAGTATATTTTTAGGGTTTTTAATAATATAACCTCTGTAGAGGGCAATTTGACAGTATTTATCAAAATTATAAGTACTTGTATCTTTTGACCCAACAATTTAACTTCTCAGAATTTATCCTGTGGAGATAATTGCCCACCTGTGAAATGCTATATATCTGAAATTACTTGTTGTGGCATTATTTATGTAGTAAGGTTGCGATAATCTAAATTCCCATTGGTGGAAGACTAATTAAATAAATACAGTGAAATGTTATAAAGATGATTTTTTTTAAATGAGAAGATTCTTTATGTAATGCTAGGAAATAGTATCCAACATATGCTGTTAAATGAAAGTAAAAATGTAAACCAGTGTATACGAATGTATATTATGTTGTTATTTCTGTAAGAAAAGGGACCATACATATACTGTATATACATAAGATATCTCTGGAAGATAACTTTGGTTGGTTTCACTGAGGGAAACTGGCTAAGGGACAAGGGAATGTGGGGAAGAGAATCTTCACTATATACCTTTTTATAACTTTTGCCTTTGTGCTCTGTTAGTGTTTTACCTGTTTAACTTTTTTTTTAGTTAAAACATTTAAGTACTGTAATGAAATAAATGACAGGTTAACATCCCAATAAATATATTTTATGTTTCAGACCTGTTGTAGAATTATTTGGCACAAGTAGGACCGATATGTTAAATGTCATCCACACTTAAGGAGTACCTTGCCAGCAAGTAAGACAGTTTAAAACTAGATGGACTGTGTGTGAGTGTGTGTGTGTGCGCGTGTGTGTGTGTGCGCGCACGCGCACGCACATGCACACATGGAATTTAGCAGAGTCGGTCTTTTACAGGGAATTCTTGCATTAAATTAACAGAAGTGAACCTGATGACCTCTAAATATCATCCAACATGGGCAGCATGGCATAGTGAAATAGTACGAGGCTTGAAGCCTTCAGATGAAGGTTCAGATCCCCTCTTCACTCCTTAATAAACTGTGTGAACATGTTATAGTATCTTCAACTTAATAGGTTTCAGTTTCTTAATCTACAAATGGGGTTGCTTCCATCTACCTATAGGCTTGTTATGAGCATTAGCAATAATTTATATTATGTCTGGAAGTTTGGTTCATTATACTGTTATTCCATCTCCACAGATCTATGAATGAATGATCCTTGGGGAGAAAATTGAGGTCAAAGATATATTTTATGGGAGGAACTTCTCCTTTCATTTTGAAACTTAGATATTTCTATCATATTCCTGAATGTTATTAACAATTCTCTAGATCTTTTACCTCCCATCCACTCACCTATGAAATTCTACAAGCAATACTAGAAGTGAGGAAATGTGACCGTACATCCCAACCTATTTGGGTAGCCCGCCTTGCACTTACCTCAAGTTGAGCTTTGCCTCTTACTGCTTTTCTTATTGGGATTTTAAAATTGTATATTCAAATATAGCTGTATAGATCTCTTATGGAGTAAAATCCATGATGCTCATGGCAACCCGATGTCCATCATGTAGTCATTCTCTGCAGGGCTAATTGTCTGTATTTTTAAAAAGTGAAGTCAAGAGAATTGTTTCATTTTATTCTAATTCATTTATGGACATGTCTTATCTCCATGACAGTCTCTGACACATACCTTGGAGTCATTAAAATATTCTCTGAAATTCAAGTGCAGTGGAGTGTACCTATAGTATCAGCTGCTCAGGAAGATGAGGCAGGAAAATTGCTTGAATAGCCATTGTATTCCAGCCTGGGCAGTATCTTGAGACTCTCTCTCTCTCTCTCTCTCTCTCTCTCTCTCTCTCTCTCTATATATATATATATATATATATATATATACACACACACACACACACACACACACACATGCATATATACATATACATATATACACATATATATGTATATGTGTGTATATATATGTATATATATATATTTCTCTGAAGTTTATCTGACACAACTAACTTTAACTTTTGGTAGTGCTTAAGACAAGAAGCAAATCAGAAGTTAAAAAACAAAAAGACTCCAACATATTTGCCTGCATTTCATCATGACTATTCTGAGAACTTTCAGTGGTTACCTAAGGAGAGGGACACATCCTAACTATACCAGGGCAGTGAATGCTATTGCTCACAATGTAAGATCCATTAATTACACTCCCCATTCTACCTGTCCAATGATGGGAAAAGCTTTAAGCTGCTATGTAAGCAGCTTGATAAGAGACAGTTTCCTGTTAGTGAGGACTGTTAAACTTGGATTTGATTCAGAAAAATAAATTAAATCCATTTCTCTCGAGATCTCCGAAAATAAGAGTGGTCGATTTACTATTTTAAGTGCCTTGTGAAGAACTACAATATTTCCCCTACTTTTTTTCACCTACACCAACATTAACATTGGCTGATTTCCTTGACACATCTTTCTACATAACTTCCTAAAGCTGTTACTATATTATAAATGTTGTCCTGAAAATTACAAGCAAATGTAACTAGAATACTTTGATAGAGCCTTTTTAAAATCTACTTATGTTTTAGTTGTTTGCCCACACTGCAATAAAAATTATAAGTTGTCTTTTCAGTCATTCACACTGATGAACAGGAACAGGAAACCAAAGTTTCTTTTAGAAATACCTCTATTACAATGTGTGTGGCAGGTTTATAAATAGAATTAACAGGCAGGTATTTTCAGATAGCTTTAGCACAGTGTTAGTCAATGTCAGGGAAATTTTTTTAAGTTTATGGGAGCTTTAAAAAACAAAACAGTAAAATTACTTTTGACACATTCTTTGTTACTTTGACTTTCACCACAGTCTATAGTCCTGAAAAAGACTGTTTATAAAGTAACGTACATAACTTAATTTCCCCAGGGTAAAATAAGTGTCAGCCACAAGTATTTTTGTGATTAAGAAAGAGCCACTTAACTTAGGTTGGTGTTCCATATCAGTTAGAGATTTCTTCTGTCAATTTCTAGCATTTCTACCACAAGTTTTTTTCTAAAAAAAAGAATTCTTAGAGGAAATAATAAAGATTTTTTTCCAGATATCTAAATTAGTATACATTTTTAAAAACATCATAATAACTCTATGAAATATAAAGTAGCAAAACAGCATATGAAAGTTCTCATCTTCAGCTTGGGACACAGCTAATGCTTAGTAAGTAGCAGATTGAGGCATATGAGGTTGCCAATATTTGACCACTTTGACTTATAAAAATGACAATTTCATGAGATTCAAGTTAATATTAGTATTCTTCCTTATTTGCATTGGTGTCAGAATCCCATTAGCCTAATTCATCTTACCAAAAGGGCCCTCAGATCTTGAGAAAATTATGGTTATTGGCCAAGATAAAAGTGTATCTGCATGGCTTCAGTAGCTACTGCAGCAAAGTGAACCTATACATTTCACCTCAAGAGAGTTTAGGGATGTTCTCAAACCTCATACCTGATCTTATAAAGCAGAGGTCCCCAATCCCTGGGCCATGGACCAGTACTGGTCAGTGACCTGTTAGGAACCAGGCCATACAGTAGGAGGTGAATGGTGGGCAAGCGAGAATTACCAACCCGAGCTCCACCTCCTGTCAGACCAGCAGCAGCATTAGATTCTCATAGGAGCCTAAACCCTATTGTCAACTGTGCATGTGAGGGATCTAGGTTGTGCACTCCTCATGAGAATCTAACTAATGCCTGATGATCTGAGGTGGAGCAGTTTCATCCCCAAACCATCCCCTCACCCCTGTCTATTGAAAAATTGTCTCCCACGAAACCTGTCCCTGGTGCCCAAAAGGTTGGGGGCCACTGTTATAAAGTACAGCAAGAAGTTAAAGCTAAAGGAGTAAAATAACAGTTGTGAGGCTGACATTGTAGTGGAGAGAGACACAGAATCCAAAAAAGCAAAAAAGGACAAAAACAAGCTACAAATATAATACAAATACCATTTAATATGGGTGGCTTTGATGTGTACGTATGACTAACAGCCCTATATCCTGCTGTCCTGTATTAAGATATCATTATATTATAATAACATGTTTCCAGTTCTGACTGTTCATTATCAAGATAAGTTTAAAACTGTCTTTGAATGCTCTAAAAGTCTGTGTGAATTTTAAGTGTGTGTTCTAGTAACTTCTCTGAAAATTTTACGTGATTTCCCAGCCCTTCAGGGTACAACGAAGTGTCACTTTATTATTATTATTATTATTATTATTATTATTATTATTATTATTATTATTATTTGAGACAGAGTCTCGCTCTGTTGCCCAGGCTGCAGTGCAGTGGCGCAGTCTCAGCTCACTGCAACCTCCGCCTCCTGGGTTCAAACAGTTCTCCTGCCTCAGCCTCCAGAGTAGCTGGGATTAGACACCTGCCACCACGCCCGGCTAATTTTTGTATTTTTAGTAGAGATGGGCTTCACCTGAAGTGTGACTTTAACACATGAATGATTAGAGGATGAGTCAGGCTACAACTCTGTTTATTAGCAAAACAATTGGGGAGCAACTTTATATCTGAGTATTTTTAGACTTTCAGGGACACAGCCAACTTTTAAAATTTTATTACACGAAAACATTTTAATAATAAAAAATTAGAAACTGTAATATGTTTTTAAATTCTGCATGAAAAACTGAATATCTCCTTGAACAATGTAGACCTAGTAGATGAAAAATACCACAAAAGTGGGTTGCTTTTTTCATCCTGTTTTTTCTGTATCCCTAGCATCTAGCTCAGGGGCTGGCACATAGCTGGCAAGAATACATATTTGTTGAATGAATGAATGGAGTGAATGCAATTCTAAGTATTGCATTAATATGTAAGTCCTTAGCTCATTAAATATCCTTTTTGTACAAGAAATTGTTCAGTAAAAATACTCTTTTCTCCACTGCACTCCAGCCTGGGCGACAGAGTGAGACCCCGTCCCAAAAAAAAGCGAAAAAAAAATACTCTTTTCTCACCTACAAAATGGGGGGAGGCCTTACCAGGTGTTTCCAGCATAAATATTCCACAGTCTTGTAAACAGGCAAGCCCACTGTCTAGGGAAGAGATCAAACAGTAGGGATTTCTTAAAGCATTAATGGGTAAGTTAAGACCATTAATGCCTGGCTTCGTTCCACAATGGCCTTGGGCCACATGCAACCTTGATTGATGATGACTTTTTACCCGTCTCTCTGAAACTACTTGCTGAGTTTTGTCTTAGGGCTTGTGTGTCACTTGTTTAGCTCTCCTGACATTAATCCAAAGGAAGTCATTCATTGGCAAGTACAAATTCTCCCCAATTATGCCAAAGAGAATTATTCATTACATTTTATGGAAAGCCCAAATCTTATTTCCAGGAGGGCTGGGGACCTGCCAGCTCACTGGGTTTTGTTGGCATTGATTGATTTTGCTTTCCCCAGGCTTTTAACCAAAAGCCTTTCGAATTCCAAATGGAGCCTCTTTATCATTTGAGATCTCCTGAAGACACGGAATTTGGTTTTAAATAAAAATATCTTAGCTAAGGACACATGTTTTGTGGGATTAATGCTACTAATTTTTCTCTGCTTTTGTTTTAAACACTTGAATTATGGGCTCTTTGGTCAAGAACCAATGTTAGGAAAAGTTGATCTGTTTAGCCTACTTCTAGCTGTGTCTGCACTGTTTAATGCAGTAGGCACTAGCCACATGTGACTATTTGATTAATCAAATTAAAAGTTAAGTTCCTTGATTTGACTAGTCAAATTGCAAGAACTCAATAGCCAAAAGTGGCTGCTGGCTGTCTCACTGGAGATGCACACATATGTAGTATTTCTGTCAGCACAGAAAGTTGTGTTAGACAACACTGGCAAAGACTATCTCCTTGACTGAACTTGAGTCAGACTCCTCTGAACTGTCTTCAGGCCCTGACCTTGGACTCTGTCCTTGACCTACTTGGTCCAGTTTTAGTAAGAATCCTGCTGAGTCAGTATAGCGAGAATCCCCTAGTCTTGATATGTGATAAAATTCCTCATCTTGCCCAACCTACCCCCATCATCCTCCATATCTTATCACTCTGGCCTGCCTTCACCAAGAATCCTGTCAGGTCAGTTTAAGTAGGGGCCCCCCTTATTCCTGATCTTTCCTCTTAGTAATTTTCCATCCACTGACATCCACTCTGCTCCTTGGCTATAAATTCCCACTTGTCCTGGTATTTGGAGTTAAACACGTTCTCTCTCTACTACTACAAAACCCCCACTGCAGTAGTCCTTCTTGAACAGTCCTCCTTATCATCTTTGACAATGTCATATTTTTTCTTTATTGACATTATCTTAAGTTCTAAAAGGACACAAAATATTCAAGTATTTTAGCTTTTAATTTTAAAAATTTCTTATTACCTAAGATGGGAAGAGGATTGACCAGAGATTTATTTATTCAACATTTATTTATTGAGTCAATACAGTTTCACAAGAGGTTATTGTAGTTGTGAAATATTCTTGGAGGTTTACAGCCTCTATCTCCCACTACACAGGTGATGTTGTGGTCCAGGGAAGCACCTGGGGAAAGCCCAAAAGCTTTTTGGAAGTCTCAGACACTGCTAAAGAAAGGGAGTCTTCTCTTCTGAGTCACAGTTCATCTTCATTTCACCCACCCTTCTCTCAATGCTGAGGAATTCAAATTTAATATATTAAATATATAAGAAAGTACTTTAGAAATTCTAGGGACTGTTGGCACTACATATTCTCTTAGTTGTTTCCAAACGTTTCCAGGGCTAGATTGTGTTACAGTTTGAATGTGCCCTCCAAAAGTTTACGTGTTGGAAACTTGATTGCCACTGTAACAATGTTAAGAGGTAGGGCTTTGGAGGTGATTGGGCTATGAGGGCTCTGCCCTCAGGAATGGATTAATGCTGTTATCATGGGAGTGGGCTGGTTATGGTAGGAGTTTGGCCTCCTTTTCCTCTCCATACTGCCCTCTCTCATCTTCTCTTGCCTTTTTACCTTTCAGCCTTCCACAATGGGATGACCCTCATCTGATGCTGGTGCCATGCTCTTGGACTTCCCAGCATTCAGAATCATTTGCCAAATAAACTTCTTTTCTTTATAAATTACCCAGTCTGTGGTTATTCTATTATAGCAACAGAAAACAGACTAAGACAACTTGTTAGTCCCCAAATGAGCAGGTCATCAGGCCCAGCTGTACTCTTGCATGCATGTAAAATAACCAAGAATTTTAGTCCTGTGTTACAGCCCAATGGGTTCTTCTTGCCTGCTGCACAGATAAAGCCAATACACTAAGACAACACTGTTGCAGCAGAGAAAGGATTTAATTATCGCAAAGCAGCTCAGCAGTAGAGTGGGAGATATTTCTCAAATTTGCCTTCCTGAGATCACAAAGGCTATGGTTTGTAAGGATAATTTGGTGGGCAGGGGGCTAGGAAATGGGTTTCTCTGATTGGTTGGGGATGAAATCATAGGAGATTCAAACTGTCTTTGGAAGCTGAGTCAGTGTCTGTGTGGGGATCACAGGACCAGTTGGGTCCGTTCGTTTGTGTGAATCACTGATCTGGGTGGCATCAGTTGGTCCACCTGAATTCAAAAGTCTGAAAAATATCTCAAAGACAAGTCTTAGATTTTGATAATAGTGATGTGATTTATAGGAGCAATTAGGAAAGTTTCAAATCTTGTGACCTCTGGCTACATGATTCCTGAGCAGTAAGCAAGCTAGAGAACAATGGCTGATTATCAGTTAACTATGCTTATAGGCTGGCAGAATTCAGGCCCTTACCATAATTCCCGAACAAGAAAGGAGTTAGTCTGGGGAAGAGGCTATTGTCATCATTGCTTTAAAGTTAAGCCATAAGCTAAATTCCTCTCATAGTTAGCTTGGCCAATGCCAAGGAATGAGCAAGGACAGATAGTTTGGGGGGTTAGAAGCAAGATGACATCAGCTGTGTTAGATTCATCCTGCTACGATAATCTTTGCAAAGACAATTTCAACTGTAGCACAGCCAGGTCAGTGCTAGTTGCTATGTGATCAGTAATTCCAAGCTACAGAGTTCTACCAAATCATTTTGGGCTATCATTGATACCGTACAAATTCAAGCAATGATTAAGTGATTAAGAAAAGCCTAATATTCCAGTACCTTCCTAGTCTAATTATTGGATTATTCTATGAAAACACATATTTTTAAAAGAAAAATTTCTAGCTTAAAAATTTTTTTAAACCGATTAAATGGTAATTATTTTTAAGAAGGTTATAATCTTGACTCTCATACAAATGCAAAACGAACACATATCAAAGTTTTTTTAGCTCAATAATTAATGAGATAACCAGTAAGCTATGAGAACCAATTCAGGAAAGGATCCAAAAAGCAAATGAATATATAAGCCTTCAGAAATACCAAAATACATTTGCTTAATAGATGCAAACTGGCCAATATCCACAGGGCAATAATCAATTGCATTCCACTATACATGTATATTGTGCATTATTATGGACTAGAATCATTTGCCTCATGACCAGTTTTCTACAACATAGAGAGTTGTAAAATTGTTCAAAGAAAACTTCAAAACCCATAGAGTCAGATAACCTAGAAATGTATGTTTTCGATAATACCTAGTTTTCATTGAAGACATCCAGTAATCATCTTGGCCCATTCCCAAATCTTCCATAATTTTTTCTTCCGGTAAATTAACTCTTCATATATTACTCTGTCCATGGTTATGCCCTTTTGATGTACCTGGCCATTTTCTCAAGTTCATGTTATTTGAGAGATACATGAGGAGCTCTCCCTTTTGTTTGATTCAATAGTACAGAAAAAAAGAGCACGTCTCCTATTACAAACTCCAAGTTAAGAGGTATGGGAAGGGTCACAGTGAGCTGGGTAACTAGAGGGAGAGGCAAAAGAAAGAGAAAAAGGAGAAAGGATTAAATCATTTATATCATAATTTCATGGATAGTATTATAGAATTAAACCTCTTTGTAGTCACTTATTTCACAGGTTCTGGCCCATTGGCTTTAAGAGGCATCTCAGTTTAGTAATGGTTTCTTGGAGGAGAAAGAAAATTTGAAAAGGAAAAAATATATACTTCTTTAAAAAATGGAGTATATTTATACCATGGCATATTATTCCCTCAGTAAACAACGGTTTAAACCTTTTTAACATTCTTTTGAATCACTTTGTCCATCATTTATCATGCATATGACTTGATACTTTCATAGTGCATTTCCTGATTGAAACCTTTTTAGCAGCTTTGTGATTGAAAATGTAATCTTAAAGCATTTCAAAGAATACTGGGATATTTTCTACATAATCCACCCTATACTCCTACTCTCTCTACACACTCCAATTTAATTATATACCTGAGGTTACACAGCTAATTTTGAAAGTTGTAAGGAAGGTTTTGATAGCTTACCGCCTAAGCAGTTGTCCTCAGCATAGCATTCATGGGTTATTCACTTTTCCTAGCTTTGAAAACACTGTGATCTATTCTGTAAGACTGACAAATCCTTCTGCCTTTAACTGTGCTGGTTGGCATCCAACAGACAGTCCTTTTGAATAACCCAAGGCCAAAAGATTTATTAACTTGCACAGATTTATCTACTTCCATGTGTTTTCTATTCTTGGGTCCTCTGTAAAACATTTAATTGTTATTTTACAAGAGAATCACTTGGTTCATTCCTTGAGTGATGAATGTTTGCATCACTTGCAGTAAATTTACATCCTGTGGTGCTCTTCATTCTCTTCTGCATACACAGTACTTTTTCTGTTCACTTCTGCCATCACAGTACAGTCCTATTGAGGACAAGTCCACATCCAAATTTAAGGAAAACTACTGTGAGAGGCAGGACCAATGGAAACAATTCAACTGAGCGAACAAGGATAAACAAATAGCCTAAAGTACACACTTGTCTAGGCAATGGCTCATGCACAGAAAATAACAGCTCTAACACATAATTGTCTGTGTGATGATCAGCTGATTTCTTTGGACATTGATTATAAGATTTATTAGAATTGGGAAAGGGAAGGAACACTATGCATGAGGAATTTGCAAAATTACAGATTTCTAAAATACAGATTGTTTCACAAAGTGTGACCCCCTTTTCTTTTGACAAGTTTTTTTGACAAAGTTCCTAGCTTCATTGCTGCTGATCTAATTGTGCCTTTCTCTTAGCAAATCAGGAAACACAGGCCCGGAAACTTTCACTTATTCCAACTTTCACCAAGGTAGCTAGTATTAACCAAAGTTAAAGCAGTGGATTCCAAACTCCCAGTTTTCCAAACACCATGATAAAGTTTTCACCAGTCTGTGGCAAAATGAAAAAAACAAAGTAGTAATTTTTATGAGTTCAAAAATATCTACTTCAAGGGATTGTTTTATTTTCATGTTGAAATATTCATTTTTTATGTGATTGATGTAGTCATTCTTTTGTATGATTAAAAGAGGCATTATTTTTGTAAATTTTTTTGCCGCCACCCCAATATATTAGCAGAACAAAAATTTAGTAGCCCTATGTAGGTTCTTTCAATTAAAGGAATTACTAGTCCTTTACATACAAAAGTCTGAGAATTAACAGGCAGGGAACTTCTAATACAGTGTTCTTTTTGTTAGGCATTTCTCCCTAGTTATTTCTTTTGGCCTTTTTTTTTTTTTTTTTTTTTTTTTACTGGAGAAAGGGCCTCCCTCAAGCATTTTTCTCAGCTACCAAAGGACACTTCTCTCTTTTTCTCAACTCACAATTATGAAACCATTTTTTATAATTTTAAAATAATTGGGTTATAAAAAAGATGCATTTGTGAATAATCAATACCTTATAAATTAGATGAACTACCAGGGAAGTTAAAAAACACTATCTTTTTTTATAATGCGGACTTTCAGTTTTGTGATTCATCATACCTCAATTACAAGAAGATTTAGTTCCCTTACTTGTTTTAATGAAGTGTTTTCTAAAGTAGTATACACATATACACTTATATGCAACTTACTCTACCACTGGTAACCAAGAAGAGAAATGCAAGAATTAAGGATAGTTTATTCATAGCTAACCTACTTCTACCTTTTCTACTACCATAGCACTGTCTATTACTATTCTGGTACTGCAGCCTCTTGTTGTTTTTATGTAAAGGCATTTTACAGAGTAGCTAGAAAAATAATAAATCTCCAATGTAATTGTCTATGTGAAAGTAACTCATTTGAGAATGTATTGATTATTATGATTAATAATAGGGCCCTGGCATTTTGTAGACTAATGTTAATATTGTAATATTTTGGTACCACCTTCTGCGATTGTTCAAGGTAGTGTACTTGTTATTATATTACGTGTCCAGTCATTGGTGACAATACCACTTTGTCAGGCTGTAAAGATGGAAACACTTTTTCAAAGAGAAGAAAAAATTGAGCTGCTACCCCTGGGCTCAAAGTAGATTAGCCTTAATAATTTAGAAGTGACAACTACTCTTGCTGTTCCTTCTGAAACAGCATTATGGGCCTTTACTTGTCACACTATATTAATTTAATAAATATTTATTTGGCACCTACTATGTGTAATTAATTAGGTGCTCATTCTGATTATCTTAAGACATACAAAGATGAATATCCTTCCATTTGTGTCCTCAAAAAGCTTAGGACAAGAGATGATCCATGTATGAAATTACCTGTAACAGAAGGAAGCAGTGATATGTGCTATTGGAGAGGTAGAGATAAAAATTTGCCAAGATTTCAAAGGAGGGAGGAAGTTGCTGTTTTAATTGAAGAACCAAGCGGGTATTCATGAAGGAGACGAAAATAGAACAGAACCTTGAGAAGTGCTTTGGATTTGAACATATGGAACTTGGGCTAGGTTCGTTTCAGAAAGAGAACTACACAAGCCAGTAATAGGAGAGGAAAATTCTGGTGTATCTGATGCAAAACGGAGTCTGGCTAGAGTTACAGGATCCATGAAGGAGAGTAAGTAGAAAGTTGTGCTGCGTCACAGTACAAATGCTGTGTTATGTTCAGGACTAAAGATTTTGGGCTTTGGTCTACAGGGATGAGAGAACTCCTGAGGTTTTGTAAACATAGGAATAGCCTGGTCATAAGGAGTATCAAGACAATTGATCTGGAGGCTCAGCATATGTTGGATTGAAGAGGCCAATAACCAGCAGTTCAGAGAGTGGCTGGAAACCAGAACCATTGGTATAGTCCTTGAGATACATTGAGAGGAAGAACTGCCATTGTGGCCATGGGAATGGCCATGGGATGATCAACAGGAGAGGTCCCAGGGTGCAACATGGAATGAGTGTTTGACAATGAATTGAACATGAGGGAAAAAGAGATGGAGGGGAGTCAAATGCTTTGACATTGAAAGAAAAAAGAGTAGGTTTGATTGATAAGATAAGGAGTCCTGTTTGGGCCTCCTTGAATTCAAACTGCTGGCAGGCATCAACGAATAAATATCCCAAGAACAATTACCAATGCATATCAGAAATTAAGATAAAAATGAAGCCAGAGCTATAATTTTACTTATTTGGGAATAGTCTTAATAGATATAATAGTTGAAGTATCTTTGTTTTGAGAGTTCACCAGTGGGCATGAGAAGTGTACTACCAAGAAGAGAGAAGGGCCAGGACTAGATCTGTGGAGAATATCAACACTTAAAATGTAGAACAAGGAAACCACTCCCTCCAGCGCCCACCCAGCCAAAAACCTAGAAACTAAAAATAACCACCCAACATTCAGGAGAAGTCAGAGGTAGCAGAGGCAAAGGAGGGAGCCAGCAACCAGCAACCAGCAGCAGAGAGGCTAGAGTAGACTAGCAGAGGTAATTTTGCTTGCAAGCTGGACATCTTGCCTTCAAAAGGAAGAAAGATCACTTAACTGTGGATAGACACGTGTGTTTCCAGAGCAGAGTTCTTTCAGCTCTCTGAAAGAGTTCCCTGACAGGACCTGCTCCCACAATTCACAGCCACATGGTCCAAATTTCTTGGCAGAATGTGTCATCAGTGGCCTGCTGCCCACTGCCCTGGCAGAGGCCCTCTCCCACAAACATAATGGGAGCTCTTTCCAGGAGTCCAGAAGCCCAAAGATACATCTGTGGTTTTGACATCCCATTTTCCCCAGTAAGAAAAACCTGCAGAGCTGCAGGTCCATCTAACATTGCTTTTTTTTTCTATCTGACCATCTGTAACCTCTGTAAACCAGAGGTTTTTAACCTGAGGTCAGTGAATATTCTGGCCAGTGGATATAATTTTCTGCTATCCATGTGCATGTATTTTCCTGCAGGGATGATTTATTCTTCTCATTCTTAAAAAGATCTATTTTCTTAAAGAGCCACTGTAATATTAATTGTACACTCTTGCAAATAATGTGAGTTCCTTGAGGACAAGAGCCTGTCCTTATAAATTTTGATAACCTCATGGAACCTCTATCAGTCTTGGCTGAATGAATGGCTAATGGTGCTACATTAGTTGGGCAACAGAGATGATTGTATTAGTCCGTTCTCACACGGCTATGAAGAAATACCCGAGACTGGGTAATTTATAAAGGAAAGAGGTTTAATTGACTCACAGTTCCACATTGCTAGGGAGGCCTCAGGAGACTTACAATCATGGTGGAAGGCAAAGAAGAAGCAGGCAACTTCTTCACAGGGTGGCAGGATGGAGAGAGTGCAAGCATGGGAAATGACAGATGCTTATAAAACCATCAGATCTTGTGAAACTCACTCACTATTATGAGAACAGCAATGGGGAAGCTGCCCTCATGATCTAATTACCTCCACCTGATCCTGCTCTTTACCAGATTGGGGATTATGGGGATTACAATTCAAGATGAGATTTTCGCTGGGGACATAGCAAAACCATATCCATGATAAAAATACTCATTTTGGTTCTCTGACCTATTGTTTAACTTAAAAAAATATAGATACCTAGGAAACATTTTTTCATAATGTCCTCTGTTAGAATAACTTGTTGTTAAAATGAGTGCTTCGCCCCAAGCATGGTGGCTCACACCTGTAATCCCAGCACTTTGGGAGGCCGAGGCGGGTGGATCATGAGGTCAAGAGATCGAGACCATCCTGGCCAACATGGTGAAACCCCGTCTCTACTAAAAATACAAAAATTAGCTGGGCGTGGTGGCATGCGCCTGTAGTAGTCTCAGCTACTTGGGAGGCAGAGGCAGGAGAGTCGCTTGAACTCGGGAGGTGGAGGTTGCAGTGAGCTGAGATCTCACCACTGCACTCCAGCCTAGCAACAGAGCGAGACTGTGTCTCAAAAAAAAAGAGTGCTTTGCACACTCTCTCTTATTTATTTCCTTAATAATTTTGCAGAGTGCGGATTAATACCTTTTTTCATTAATGAGGATGCTAGGGCTGAGAGAATTCATGTGACTTGCTGAGGGTCAAACAGCATGATAGCCAACTTGGGACTTACATCCAAGTCTTTGTTCTCCAAGTCTTATATATTGTCCCACTTATCCAAGGACTGGAGAGCCAGGTTAGTTTAGTAGGTAAAACCCTGTAAAGATGGCTTGGGCTCTAATCCTGGCTCTAGCACTTCCTGTGTGACTTTGGGCAAATTCCTAACCTCTGTAAGCCTGCATTTCCATTAATAAAATGGAGATAATAAGTGTCTGTACTTATAAGGTGATTGCAAAGTTTAAATAAGATAGTTGTTTTAAGTATTCAAAAATGTTAACTATTATTATTATCATCTCATGGTACGTTCATTTGTAAACAAAAATGCCTGGGATCATAGTAGATTTTGCCTTGTTTTATGGAATGCTTATTGGCAATAGGTTGGATTTTGTTTTATACAAATACAATATTTTTCTTAGCCTAAAATATGATATTCATGTTAAATGCAGTGGTTTCCAAATAGTTGTGTTATTGACTGACAGATACAAGTATCATACAGTAAATTTAATTGCTTGGTCTTACACACTTATTGCCTAATGACAGAGATATATTTGAACAAATGAGTCATTAGGCAATTTCACTCTTGTGGCAACATCACCGAGTATACTTACACAAACCTAGATAGCATAGCCTACTACACACCTGGGCTATATGGTATTACGTAGCTCCTCGGCTACAAACTTGTACAGCATGTTACTGTACTGAATATGGTAGGCAGTTGTAACACAGTGGTATTTGTGTATCTAAACACAGAAAAGGAATAGTGAAATACACTATAACCTGCCTTTCCAGTCCTTGGATAAGTGGGACAAGATATAAGACTTGGAGAAGATAGGCCGGGTGTGGTGGCTCACGCCTGTAATCCCAGCACTTTGGGAGGCCAAGGCGGGCGGATCACTTGAGGTCAGGAGTTCGAGACCAGTCTGGCCAACATGGTGAAACCCCGTCTCTACTAAAAATACAAAAAAAAAATTAGCCGGGCGTTGTGGCAGGCGCCTGTAGTCCCAGCTACTTGGGAGGCTGAGGCAGGAGAAAGGCGTGAACCCGGGAGGCGGAGGTTGCAGTGAGCCGAGATCGCACCACTGCACTCCAGCCTGGGCGACAGAGGGAGACTCCGTCTCAAAAAAAAAAAAAAAAAAAAGACTTAAAGAAGATAAAATATGATGTACCTGTAAAGGACACTTACTATGAATGGAGCTTGCATGGGTAGAAGTTTTCTGGGTAAATCGGTGAATGAGTGGTCAGTGAGTGTGATGCCTAGAACATTACTGTATGTTACCGTAGAATTTATAAACACTGTATACTTTGGCTATACTAAATTTATTAAAAATGCCTTTCTTCAATAATAAATTAACTTTCACTTACTGTAACTTTTATACTTTATAAAGTTTTAAATGTTTAAAAAACTTTTTGACCGTTTTGTAATGCCACCACATCTGGCTCCAGTAGTGTACAGCAATGTCCTAGGCTTCATATTCACTTACCTCTTACTCACTCACTTACCCAAAGAACTTCTACCCATGCAAGCTGTGTTCAGTAAGTGTGTAAGTGTGTAACAACACTTAAAACACAGACACATCATACAGCTGTACAAAAGCATTTTCTTTCTTTATATCCTTACTCTATAAGCTTTTTTTCTAATTTTCTACTTTTTATTTTTATATTTTTACTTTTTAAACATTTTTGTTAAAACTTAAGACACAAATACACATATTCGCCCAGGCCTGCACATGATCAGGTTAATCAACATCACTGTCTTCCACCTCTACATCTTATCCCACTAGATGGTCTTCAGGGGCAATAACACCCATGGAGCTGTCATCTCCTGTGATAACAATGCCTTCTTCTGGAATACCTCCTGAAGGATCTGCCTGAGGCTGTATAACAGTTATTTTTTTAAAATGATAAGAAGTATGGTATAGTAAATACATAAACCAGTAACACAGTCATTTATTATCATTATCAAGTATTGTGTATTGTATGTAATTGTGCTATACTTTTATACAACTTGCAGTACAGTAGGTTTGTTTAAACCTATCACATGCGTCACCACGAGTAAAGCTTCTGCCTTTTCCTGGAGTTCTCTGGAGTACAAAAGGAAGTAAGAATGCCAAAGCAGTGGCAGCCCCCCAACGGTGGCTGAAATCAGTAGACTGGCAGGGCTGCTGTGCTCTTGGCACCTGGCTTTATCCTAATGCTGCATGAGTGACAGAGCCTGCCCCGCAGCAGTGCACTCCATCTCCCATTAGCTGTCATCCCATTAGCAACGGAGGTGGTGAGAGTTCATATTTACAAAGAGGCTGAGACTTACCTTCCTAAACAAGCAATAACTATTTAAACTTCCATACAAATGCAGGAGGGTGAAGGGGTGAGGGCAGAGGACGTTGGAACTTTTCAGACAAAAAAACTGTTGCTTCTAACATGAAAATGTGAAGGACTTACAAAGTCACCAGGCAGTTCTCTGAAATTGGAGTTACAAATAAATGTTACAGGACTGATTAGGATCTTCTAATTCATAAGCCTGTTGGAATCACTCTGCTCTTCAGTTAAATGTGTATGTACTCTGTTAATTGAATAATGGAGACTATTAATGCTCAACCATAATTAAAATACAATTTTCCAAATGCATTTGCTCAATATCACTTGACATGTTGTTTTAGTGATTTTTTTAAATGATCAAGAACAAGTAAGTTACTTAATTGTATGAATAAACAGTTTAGCTTTCCAAATGCCTGCAGTGACAAAATGGGAGAATACAAAGGAAAGAGGAAATCGTGTCCCCAGTGTGCACAAGTCAGGCTGTTTGTGGGAAGACAGGGCTTCTGGAACACTGGCATGCCAAGAAGCAGAGATATTATTCAGAGATATCTGGGCACTGACGGTGCTTTTTTTTCTCCAAGAGAAAATGTGGCCTTGATGCCCTTCAATTTGGTTCAAGAACCTGATGAGCCTGATAATTAGAAATATTAATTTAAATAGAAACACCAGTTTGTTTGGTGTAAGCTGAAATGGTAACATAAGCCTGAATATAAATGGACTGTGTCGTAGCAAGAATTCAGCCTCATTCTCAACTTTGGTAGGGGGCTCCTCCCTGCCCAAAGATTGTCACTGGGAGAGCAGCAACCTCCTAGGAACCAATACGTGAGGAACAATCACACAAGGATGTGCTGAGTCTGCTCCTTCTCTGGTTTACCACTTCCTGTGGACTCTGCAACCTGGAATGAATAAACTGGGATTTGAGGCAGGTATATGTCTGATCTCCGCTCACCAGTTGGTAACCCAGCTGCAAGGTGCATTTACTTTATAAATGGGTGCAGTGACATTTTCAAATGCCTAGTGGTGCTAGTTCATCTTAAGCCCTGTAAATATCTTTTGGTTTTCATTATACTTGTCCTAGACCTATGTAGTTTAGTGAAAGCTAGAGTAAGTCCATTCAAAGTCATGATCAAACTGTATTTGGCGAGGCTATGAAAAACTGATAAATTAGTTTCACCAAACATGACTTGTAATTACTTGTTGTATAAGTAACTATACATACTCTTAACCCCGTGAAGGTGGGGACCATGGTATCTTGTTCCTGGGAGAATCCTCAGAACTTAGCAGTGTTATTTGTTCATTTAACTGTTAATTGACTTTTTAAAAGTAGAACCTCCCAACATATCCTTCCATGAGACTTTTGTTATAGAGATAACTAATAATTAATATGTAAATTGTTGTTTTTTAGGCTTGAAACTGTTACAATATGGCTTTCCTTGGACTCTTCTCTTTGCTGGTTCTGCAAAGTATGGCTACAGGGGCCACTTTCCCTGAGGAAGCCATTGCTGACTTGTCAGTGAATATGTATAATCGTCTTAGAGCCACTGGTGAAGATGAAAATATTCTCTTCTCTCCATTGAGTATTGCTCTTGCAATGGGAATGATGGAACTTGGGGCCCAAGGATCTACCCAGAAAGAAATCCGCCACTCAATGGGATATGACAGCCTAAAAAATGGTAAGAGTGATCAGGTTTGATTTCTCAAGACTTTTGAATTTGACTTTGACTCAGTTATGTTGTATTCTTATTCTAGACACAGCAATATTTACACAGGGTAAAAAACAATCTCATTGAAATGGTATGGCTAGAAGGATTAGGAAACCCAAGAAATGTGTTAATTCCTGATTCCACTTCTGGCTGAATGAATCTAAGGAAATTACATCTTTTAAAAATTATTATGATTTACATAAACTCCTTGTGATCAAAAAAAGCAAACATTTTTCTGGAGTTTTCAGTGTAGAGAGAGAGGCACATATTTATCGCACAAATAAATGAAAAATTACAAATATGATGAGTACTACAAAGAAAGACAGCATGGTTTGCTAAGAATATCAGAAATTTTTGCTTAAAATCAGCAGTATCCTCTTGTTTAAATAGCATCCAAGATTTTTTTTGAAGTGTTATCTTATTATAAAAATTCTATGTATTGGGGGAAATTTCTAGCCTAATGGTATTTTGTAATCACTTTGACATGATGTTTGATTTCTATTTTAATGCTCTGATATACGTGTGAATTAGCTCATTAAAAAGTTAAAAATTAAAACAATTTCTAATGGCTTTTCTAGTTTTAAAATTAAAAGGTCTACTGAGTAAAATGTAAAGGATGATCTTGAATTTTAAACTAGGTACTTTTTTCTAATAGTATAAAAGAAGTTTAATTTCATCAAAGTAACCTAGTAATTTGGAAGAAAACAGTCTCTATAGATTGTAGCAAAATAACAATGAAATAAAAAATAATATCAGTAGATGATATTAACTTGCAAAAAGTTAATTTGAGCATCTAGAAATAGTACAAGTATTGGACCATATCAATGTGGGGGAAAGCCTGGCACTTTTCCCCCAGGTGCCTGTTTGGTTAATCTCCCTTGCTGTGCTTTAATGCTCCTCCACTCTCCTTGACATTTCACCGTGTTTGTTCTACAAATAAACTTATCCTTTCTCATCTTTCAGGTGAAGAATTTTCTTTCTTGAAGGAGTTTTCAAACATGGTAACTGCTAAAGAGAGCCAATATGTGATGAAAATTGCCAATTCCTTGTTTGTGCAAAATGGATTTCATGTCAATGAGGAGTTTTTGCAAATGATGAAAAAATATTTTAATGCAGCAGTAAATCATGTGGACTTCAGTCAAAATGTAGCCGTGGCCAACTACATCAATAAGTGGGTGGAGAATAACACAAACAGTATGTCACTTGGTTCCTTTCTTCCTCTAGTAGCTTAGTTTTAACTGTCTTTAACTTCTGAAAGTATTTCCTCCTTGTTCCTTTTGCATTTTGAATGTTTGAGAGCATTTAGTTGGGTATCTAATAATTATTTTGTATAGATTATGGCCTATTTGAGAAACATTGTTATGAATGAACATTTGAGAAAGAAGTTAAATCTTTTGGCATATATAGAATTTGGCAGTGATAATCTGAAATCTTTACTCTCTGATTGATGGGTTTCCTCTGTAATCTTAACCACTTTATGAAATTTTGCTTGTCCTATTTAATAAATTAGTTACTAGATAGAATGGCAGTTGGCTTTCATAACAATGTGATTAAAATAGAGTAAAAAAGAATTAAAAATCAGAGTTTATACAGGTTTGTTGGCTTTTGAACCAAAGAACTTCATTGGTAATTTAAAACATTTGTATATGATTCATTTTCAAAAGAGCAGCTTATTTTAAGTCCCCCAAAATGGAGAGAAATTAGAATGAGATGCATTCATTCGAAATTTTATTGCTATTTTATATTTTTAAAATGTATTTAGGGTTTCCAAATGTTTCATATTTTAGCATTTTATTTTCCAATTTTACCAGCAAAATAATTGAAATCACAGTCCTAAAATTGAGACTAAATTAAAAGTAAATTTTTATAGCTGTTCATTAAATGAAGCCATATTTTCAAAGCTACCCAAATCATGTTAATCTTGAACTTTACATTGGAACAACAACAAAAATAACCCTGAACAGATACTCAATATCCCTTAATCTCCAAGATGTAGGCATCTTTTACCTTAAGAAGTGCCATGATTAATACAATGAGAGAATACAGAGCAAATTTTTGTCATATGTTTTTTATCTATGAGATTAAAAAAAGATGACAATAAAAGAAACTTAAATGTAGTCTTTTAATAGTCAAAGAATACATCAAGGGGTGATAATGCATATGAAGTAGATTCAACTATTAAAACCCATTTGTTTTCAAACTCCTTTAGACACGTTTAGCAAACAGCAAAGACCCAATATCCTTTAAAATAGATTTGGAAAGGAATATTTCAGATGATAAACACTAATACATCATGATTTAAACTGGCTTTCATTCATCTGTTTTCACCTACCCAAAAGCAATTGGTATATTGGCAGAATGATGTCCAGTATACACAGGGAAGAATTTGAAATTGATAATTTAATCACGTACATTGTTCAAGAATAAACTTAGGACTGGGCACAGTGGCTCATGCCCTGTAATCCCAGCACTCTGGGAGGCCAAGTGGAGTGGATCACTTGAGGCTAGGAGTTTGTGACCAGCCTGGCTGACATGGTGAGACCCCATCTCTTCTAAAAATACAGAAATTAGCCAGGTGTGGTGGCACACACCTGTAATCCCAGCTGTTCAGGAGGCTGAGGCATGAGAATCACTTGAACCCAGGAGACAGAGTTTGCAGTGAGCAGAGATCATACCATTGCACTCCAGCCTAGGTGACACAGAGAGACTGTTTGTAAAACAAACAAACAAACAAAAAACAGAATAAACTTTGAAGCATTTATTGAGTGTTTACTCTGTGTTAAGAGTTTTACATGCATCATTGCAACTAGAAAGTGATTAAGTCTAAGCTTATATTGTATGTGGTTCTGTAGTTTGTGTATCAGGAAGCTACTAGTATTATTTCAGGTGATACGGGTGTTTTGAATGCCCTTAATTTCTTTTTTATATATATATACACACACATATATATATACACACATATATATATATACACACACACATATATATATATGTAGTGTGTGTGTATGTGTGTGTGTATAACTCTTTTCCCTTTGGAAGTAAGATACTTTTTATTTTCATTGTAAATTTGGTGTACAGTTTCTCTGGACCACTCTATCAGATGGTGATTTGAAAATCTTCTGGTCCCCCTTGATCTTCCAGTTTAACATGAATTTTTATCTATTCATTTTTTCCTAAATAGATCTGGTGAAAGATTTGGTATCCCCAAGGGATTTTGATGCTGCCACTTATCTGGCCCTCATTAATGCTGTCTATTTCAAGGGGAACTGGAAGTCGCAGTTTAGGCCTGAAAATACTAGAACCTTTTCTTTCACTAAAGATGATGAAAGTGAAGTCCAAATTCCAATGATGTATCAGCAAGGAGAATTTTATTATGGTAAGACATTTTTTGCTTTTATTTCTCTCTTCTTGCAGAATATCAACAGATTTCTAAGAAAAACATGAAGCATTCATATTCAAACTCCTTGTCAATCTAATTTGGGCTACAATTCAATTTTTTGGCTCCATTTTAAAAACCCTCTAATTAGTTTCTGAGTAAATATTATATTCATTGATGGTTTCCAGAGTATTTTCAAATTTATAAGTCAACCACACCTGCAGAGTAGCTTTATTCATCTGAAAATACCTGACATTGTGTGAGAATGTTCTGATTTACTCCAAAAACTCATTGGGTTTAGGATGGGTTTTAGTGAACCATATGTTCCACGAAGCACTTGATTTAGGCTCTGCACCACTTTTTAAATTACAAACATTCTTCTTATACAAAGACTTTTAAAAAAATTTGATTTTAGACATGTGTATGTATGGCCAAACATAATTGTTTGTTTATGCTTTAATTTATTGAGAGCCTATAATTTTTAATATAATTCAATATCTTTGGCATTATTTTCAAAGGTGTTTTATTGGACTCTTCAGAAGTTTAGGGTATTAGTCCTTCTTATCCACTATATTGACTTGTAATAATTTGTTAAGTCATAATCAGAAAGGTAATTTTTAGCCAGGTATATGTTAGTACTAGTAGTTTTATTCTATTAAAAGCACAGTACAGGCCAGCTGCTGTGGCTCATGCCTGTAATCCCAGTACTTTGAGAGACAGAGGTAGGAGGATTCCTTGAAGCCAGGAGTTCGGACTAGCTTGGGCAACACAGCAAGACCCTTTCTCTACAAATATATATATATATATATATATTTTTAATTAGCTAGGCATAATGGTACATACCTATAGTCCTAGCTACTTGGGAGGCTGAAGGAGGAAGATCACTTGAGCCCAAGAGTTTGAGGCTGCAGTGAGCTATGATCACACCACCGCACTCCAGCTTAGGTGGCAGAGCAAGACCCTGTCTCTAAAATTATATACATACAGGTTTTATATGTAGATAAAACTATATATACTGTGTGTATATATATATAGTTCATTTTGGCCATATGTATGTGTGTGTGTGTGTGTGTGTGTGTGTGTGTGTTAATTTGGCTAAGTTCATAGAGCACAAAGCCAATTGCCTCATTTACCTAATTACCTAATTTGGAGATATCAATATTCACAAATATAATAGCTAAATATTATACAATGCTTAGATTTCATTTTGACTCTGCAAACTTTGCTTTAAAACTTGTAGTTTTTGTGATAATAAAGTGCCAGGTATTAAATGGTCAAATTTTCCCTTCTTAAAAATCAGGTGAATATTGATCAATGTGCTTTGCAGTCAACTTGGAGCCAAGGCTTTATTTTTCTAACCAGGGCTTTTCATTGTTTCTAATGCTACACTTCAGATATATTGAATTATCTCATTTAAAAATAAAAATCAAGTCTTGAATACATGTTATTATAAATGTGAAATAATTCTGTGGATTCTAAAATAAAATAAATTATACAGGGCTGTGAACTTATTTGAATTTTAGGGCCTATTTTCAAATAAACCTGCTTTTTATCAGATGCTTGAATTTCTTTATATTCTATATACTATTTGGGAAGAAACATATATAACAAATTTAAACCTTTTTATTTATTTTTTTTTAGATTTTATTTCAATACTTTTGGGGAACAAGTGTTTTTGGTTACATGAAAAACTTCTTTAGTGGTGATTTGTGAGATTTTGTTGCACAAGTACCTGAGCAGTGTACACTATACCAAATATGTAGTCTTTCATCTCTCGCCCCCAGCTTTTTTTAAGCTTTGATAGGCATCTTTTATGGCCTTTATTTTCTTTTTAGGGGAATTTAGTGATGGCTCCAATGAAGCTGGTGGTATCTACCAAGTCCTAGAAATACCATATGAAGGAGATGAAATAAGCATGATGCTGGTGCTGTCCAGACAGGAAGTTCCTCTTGCTACTCTGGAGCCATTAGTCAAAGCACAGCTGGTTGAAGAATGGGCAAACTCTGTGAAGAAGCAAAAAGTAGAAGTATACCTGCCCAGGTATGAGGTTCCTGTGTCACCCGTCCCACAGCATGGACGATGGGCTATCAATGAAAATCTGACCCAGAAAAACTCTTCGAACTGCTTTCGAATTATAATTCTTGTGCCACTCTCTTCTTATTCTTGTTCTTCTCCTTCTCTTTCTCCTTCTCCTTCTTCTTTGATTTTCTTCTTTTTAGTATTCTTTCATAGTCATTTCTTTCATACTCATGTGGTCCTTCCCGTAGACACATGCTCACTTATTGGTTCATTCGGTGCTATTCATCGAGACCTAGTTTCAGATATAATTCAGTGTTCTTGTCTTTGTTTTAGAAAATTTATCTATCTGTTTTGTCTGAATATCATTTGCATTGACAGTCTTCTGTATTTTATTAACACTTAAGATTGATTATGACTGGAGAGGAAACAATCTCTGACATTGCTAGAAGAACTGCAAGCAAGTCACTGTGCTAGGTGCTGAGATGCAACCATAAATTAGCAGGAAGATGCAACTCTGCTCAAAATTCTCCCTGTGGCTAAAAGAATAAGATGCACACAATGCCTTTGATGTCCTGAATGCCATCCCCTTCTCAACCCCATTTCTGGCCACTCACCACATCAAGCATGTTGTAGCATGTTCTGTCCATGTACTTGTGATTATGCCACGTACATCATGCTCTTTTCATGTCTCTGAATCTCCACTTATGTTCTTGCATTGGCCTAAACTGCCCTCCTCATATTTCTTTCCCAAGATAGTGTTGCTTAGCCTTCAGGGTACACCTCTAGAACCAGTTCTTCTCTGAAGCCTCCCATGGAACTACCTGGAGCAAGTTACCCTCATTTTTGCTTCACTTATACACCTTTCTGTTATTACTTGTTACCATCCCATAATAACATTATCTTTTTGTAGGGCTAGTTTTCTTTCTGTAAGTTCTAGGGTAGAGCCAGTTTTCCTTCCTGTAGAAAGAACACAGTAAGTGTTTACAAAATGAAACTGAACTGAAAATGTTTATTCTATCCTTGAATACCTTAAAACCTAGTAGGAAAACTAGGCCAGTAAACACGTAGAACATGTTTATTAGCATACTATGTAAATTTTAGTCTAGAAAACAAGACATATCAATAAAAACAGATTAAATATATACGTATGTATGTACGTGAAAGTACAGTTAAAACACATTCCATATTAAGAAAATTGTTCAAGTATGATTAATTACTGTGAGCATTAAGGTGATAAATGAGTTATTAGTATTAAAGATGAATTATTAATAACTGATTAACCCATTCATATTTATTCTAATTTTAGGAATTATCATTTAAGGATTACATTTTATGTAAATATCAATGTTTCTAAAAACTTAGCTGATAGTTTGTTATGTAAGTGAAGGAGATCTATTTGGAACTATGGAGTTTTTGCCTGGAAAATTGTTTTATAATATATTCATAATATGGAATATTATGTTATGTCATAATTTATTATATAGCATGTCATGTTATATATTCATAATATATAACTATAAATATATAGCCATATATTTTCTATTTTTTATATTTTATTTTATTTTAAGGTCTGGTATATATGTGCAGAATGTGCAGGTTTGTTACATAGGTAAACGTGTGCCATGGTAGTTTGCTGCACCTATCAACTCATCACCTAGGTATTAAGCCTTGCATGCGTTA